>NC_000014.9:17857230-18015376 GCF_000001405.40 Homo sapiens
CAGACAGAAGCATTCTCAGAAACTTGTTCGTGATGTGTGTACTCAACTAAAAGAGTTGAACCTTTCTATTGATAGAGCAGTTTTGAAACACTCTTTTTGTGGATTCTGCAAGTGGATTTTTGGATTGCTTTGAGGATTTCATTGGAAGCGGGAATTCGTATAAACACTAGACAGCAGCATTCCCAGAAATTTCTTTCGGATATTTCCATTCAACTCATAGAGATGAACATGGCCTTTCATAGAGCAGGTTTGAAAAACTCTTTTTGTAGTTTGTGGAAGTGGACATTTCGATCGCCTTGACGCCTACGGTGAAAAAGGAAATATCTTCCCATAAAAAATAGACAGAAGCATTCTCAGAAACTTGTTGGTGATATGTGTCCTCAACTAACAGAGTTGAACTTTGACATTGATAGAGAGCCGTTTTGAAACACTCTTTTTGTGGAAAATGCAAGTGGATATTTGGATAGCTTGGAGGATTTCGTTGGAAGCGGGAATTCAAATAAAAGGTAGACAGCAGGATTCTCAGAAACAAGTTTGTGATGTGTGTACTCAGCTAACAGAGTGGAACCTCTCTTTTGATGCAGCAGTTTGGAAACACTCTTTTTGTAGAAACTGTAAGTGGATATTTGGATAGCTCTAATGATTTCGTTGGAAACGGGAATATCATCATCTAAAATCTAGACAGAAGCCCTCTCAGAAACTACTTTGTGATATCTGCATTCAAGTCACAGAGTTGAACATTCGGTTTCTTAGAGCACGTTTGAAACACTCTTTTTGTAGTGTCTGGAAGTGGACACTTGGAGCGCTTTGATGCCTTTGGTGAAAAAGGGAACGTCTTCCCATAAAAACTAGACAGAAGCATTCTCAGAAACTTGTTTGTGATGTGTGTACCCCGCTAAAGGAGTGAACATTTCTATTGATAGAGCAGTTTTGAAACACTCTTTTTGTGGACAATGCAGGTGGATATTTGGATAGCTTGGAGGATTTCGTTGGAAGCGGGAATTCAAATAAAAGGTAGACAGCAGCATTCTCAGTAAATTTCTTTCTGATGTCTGCATTCAACTCATAGAGTTGAAGATTCCCTTTCATAGAGCAGGTTTGAAACACTCGTTCTGGAGTATCTGGATGTGGACATTTGGAGCGCTTTGATGCCTACGGTGGAAAAGTAAATATCTTCCCATAAAAACGAGACAGAAGGATTCTCAGAAACAAGTTTGTGATGTGTGTACTCAGCTAACAGAGTGGAACCTTTCTTTTTACAGAGCAGCTTTGAAACTCTATTTTTGTGGATTTTGCAAATTGATATTTAGATTGCTTTAGCGATATCGTTGGAAAAGGGAATATCGTCATACAAAATCTAGACAGAAGCATTCTCACAAACTTCTTTGTGATGTGTGTCCTCAACTAACAGAGTTGAACCTTTCTTTTGATGCAGCAGTTTGGAAACACTCTTTTTGTAGCAACTGTAAGTGGATATTTGGATAGCTCTAACGATTTCGTTGGAAACGGGAATATCATCATCTAAAATCTAGACAGAAGCACTATTAGAAACTACTTGGTGATATCTGCATTCAAGTCACAGAGTTGAACATTCCCTTACTTTGAGCACGTTTGAAACACTCTTTTGGAAGAATCTGGAAGTGGACATTTGGAGCGCTTTGATGCCTTTCGTGAAAAGGAAACGTCTTCCAATAAAAGCCAGACAGAAGCATTCTCAGAAACTTGTTTGTGATGTGTGTACTCAACTAAAAGAGTTGAACCTTTCTATTGATAGAGCAGTTTTGAAACACTCTTTTTGTGGATTCTGCAAGTGGATATTTGGATTGCTTTGAGGATTTCGTTGGAAGCGGGAATTCGTATAAAAACTAGACAGCCAGCATTCCCAGCAAATTTCTTTCGGATATTTCCATTCGACTCATAGAGATGAACATGGCCTTTCATAGAGCAGGTTTGAAACACTCTTTTTGTAGTTTGTGGAAGTGGACATTTCGATCGCCTTGACGCCTACGGTGAAAAAGGAAATATCTTCCCATAAAAAATAGACAGAAGCATTCTCAGAAACTTGTTGGTGATATGTGTCCTCAACTAACAGAGTTGAACTTTGCCATTGATAGAGAGCAGTTTTGAAACACTCTTTTTGTGGAATCTGCAAGTGGATATTTGGATAGCTTGGAGGATTTCGTTGGAAGCGGGAATTCAAATAAAAGGTAGACAGCAGCATTCCCAGAAATTTCTTTCTGATGTCTGCATTCAACTCATAGAGTTGAAGATTCCCTTTCATAGAGCAGGTTTGAAACACTCTTTCTGAAGTATCTGGATGTGGACATTTGGAGCGCTTTGATGCCTACGGTGAGAAAGTAAATATCTTCCCATAAAAACGAGACAGAAGGATTCTGAGAAACAAGTTTGTGATGTGTGTACTCAGCTAACAGAGTGGAACCTCTCTTTTGATGCAGCAGTTTGGAAACACTCTTTTTCTAGAAACTGTAAGTGGATATTTGGATAGCTCTAATGATTTCGTTGGAAACGGGAATATCATCATCTAAAATCTAGACAGAAGCCCTCTCAGAAACTACTTTGTGATATCTGCATTCAAGTCACAGATTTGAACATTCGTTTTCTTAGAGCACGTTTGAAACACACTTTTTGTAGTGTCTGGAAGTGGACATTTGTAGCGCTTTGATGCCTTTGGTGAAAAAGGGAATGTCTTCCCATAAAAACTAGACAGAAAGCATTCTCAGCAAACTTGTTTGTGATGTGTGTACCCAGCCAAAGGAGTTGAACATTTCTATTGATAGAGCAGTTTTGAAACACTCTTTTTGTGGAAAATGCAGGTGGATATTTGGATAGCTTGGAGGATTTCGTTGGAAGCGGGAATTCAAATAAAAGGTAGACAGCAGCATTCTCAGAAATTTCTTTCTGATGTCTGCATTCAACTCATAGAGTTGAAGATTCCCTTTCATAGAGCAGGTTTGAAACAGTCTTTCTGGAGTATCTGCATGTGGACATTTGGAGCGCTTTGATGCCTACGGTGAAAAAGTAAATATCTTCCCATAAAAACGAGACAGAAGGATTCTCAGAAACAAGTTTGTGATGTGTATACTCAGCTAACAGAGTGGAACCTTTCTTTTTACAGAGCAGCTTTGAAACTCTATTTTTGTGGATTCTACAAATTGATATTTAGATTGCTTTAACGATATCGTTGGAAAAGGGAATATCGTCATACAAAATCTAGACAGAAGCATTCTCACAAACTTCTTTGTGATGTGTGTCCTCAACTAACAGAGTTGAACCTTTCTTTTGATGCAGCAATTTGGAGGCACCCTTTTGGTAGAAACTGTAACTGGATATTTGGATAGCTCTAACGATTTCGTTGGAAACGGGAATATCATCATCTAAAATGTAGACAGAAGCACTATTAGAAACTACTTGGTGATATCTGCATTCAAGTCACAGAGTTGAACATTCCCTTACTTCGAGCACGTTTGAAACACTCTTTTGGAAGAATCTGGAAGTGGACATTTGGAGCGCTTTGATGCCTTTGGTGAAAAGGAAACGTCTTCCAATAAAAGCCAGACAGAAGCATTCTCAGAAACTTGTTCGTGATGTGTGCACTCAACTAAAAGAGTTGAACCTTTCTATTGATAGAGCAGTTTTGAAACACTCTTTTTGTGGATTCTGCAAGTGGATATTTGGATTGCTTTGAGGATTTCGTTGGAAGCGGGAATTCGTATAAACACTAGACAGCAGCATTCCCAGAAATTTCTTTCGGATATTTCCATTCAACTCATAGAGATGAACATGGCCTTTCATAGAGCAGGTTTGAAACACTCTTTTTGTAGTTTGTGGAAGTGGACATTTCGATCGCCTTGACGCCTACGGTGAAAAAGGAAATATCTTCCCATAAAAAATAGACAGAAGCATTCTCAGAAACTTGTTGGTGATATGTGTCCTCAACTAACAGAGTTGAACTTTGCCATTGATAGAGAGCAGTTTTGAAACACTCTTTTTGTGGAATCTGCAAGTGGATATTTGGATAGCTTGGAGGATTTCGTTGGAAGCGGGAATTCAAATAAAAGGTAGACAGCAGCATTCTCAGAAATTTCTTTCTGATGTCTGCATTCAACTCATAGAGTTGAAGATTCCCTTTCATAGAGCAGGTTTGAAACACTCTTTCTGGAGTATCTGGATGTGGACATTTGGAGCGCTTTGATGCCTACGGTGAAAAAGTAAATATCTTCCCGTAAAAACGAGACAGACGGATTCTGAGAAACAAGTTTGTGATGTGTGTACTCAGCTAACAGAGTGGAACCTCTCTTTTCATGCAGCAGTTTGGAAACACTCTTTTTGTAGAAACTGTAAGTGGATATTTGGATAGCTCTAATGATTTCGTTGGAAACGGGAATATCATCATCTAAAGTCTAGACAGAAGCACTCTCAGAAACTACTTTGTGATATCTGCATTCAAGTCACAGAGTTGAACATTCGCTTTCTTAGAGCACGTTTGAAACACTCTTTTTGTAGTGTCTGGAAGTGGACATTTGGAGCGCTTTGATGCCTTTGGTGAAAAAGGGAATGTCTTCCCATAAAAACTAGACAGAAGCATGCTCAGAAACTTGTTTGTGATGTGTGTACCCAGCCAAAGGAGTTGAACATTTCTATTGATAGAGCAGTTTTGAAACACTCTTGTTGTGGAAAATGCAGGTGGATATTTGGATAGCTTGGAGGATTTCGTTGGAAGCGGGAATTCAAATAAAAGGTAGACAGCAGCATTCTCAGAAATTTCTTTCTGATGTCTGCATTCAACTCATAGAGTTGAAGATTCCCTTTCATAGAGCAGGTTTGAAACACTCGTTCTGGAGTATCTGGATGTGGACATTTGGAGCGCTTTGATGCCTACGGTGGAAAAGTAAATATCTTCCCATAAAAACGAGACAGAAGGATTCTCAGAAACAAGTTTGTGATGTGTGTACTCAGCTAACAGAGTGGAACATTTCTTTTTACAGAGCAGCTTTGAAACTCTATTTTTGTGGATTCTGCAAATTGATATTTAGATTGCTTTAACGATATCGTTGGAAAAGGGAATATCGTCATACAAAATCTAGACAGAAGCATTCTCACAAACTTCTTTGTGATGTGTGTCCTCAACTAACAGAGTTGAACTTTTCTTTTGATGCAGCAGTTTGGAAACACTGTTTTTGTAGAAACTGTAAGTGGATATTTTGATAGCTCTAACGATTTCGTTGGAAACGGGAATATCATCATCTAAAATCTAGACAGAAGCACTATTAGAAACTACTTGGTGATATCTGCATTCAAGTCACAGAGTTGAACATTCCCTTACTTTGAGCACGTTTGAAACACTCTTTTGGAAGAATCTGGAAGTGGACATTTGGAGCGCTTTGATGCCTTTGGTGAAAAGGAAACGTCTTCCAATAAAAGCCAGACAGAAGCATTCTCAGAAACTTGTTTGTGATGTGTGTACTCAACTAAAAGAGTTGAACCTTTCTATTGATAGAGCAGTTTTGAAACACTCTTTTTGTGGATTCTGCAAGAGGATATTTGGATTGCTTTGAGGATTTCGTTGGAAGCGGGAATTCGTATAAAAACTAGACAGCAGCATTCCCAGAAATTTCTTTCGGATATTTCCATTCGACTCATAGAGATGAACATGGCCTTTCATAGAGCAGGTTTGAAACACTCTTTTTGTAGTTTGTGGAAGTGGACATTTCGATCGCCTTGACGCCTACGGTGAAAAAGGAAATATCTTCCCATAAAAAATAGACAGAAGCATTCTCAGAAACTTGTTGGCGATACGTGTCCTCAACTAACAGAGTTGAACTTTGCCATTGATAGAGAGCAGTTTTGAAACACTCTTTTTGTGGAATCTGCAAGTGGATATTTGGATAGCTTGGAGGATTTCGTTGGAAGCGGGAATTCAAATAAAAGGTAGACAGCAGCATTCTCAGAAATTTCTTTCTGATCTCTGCATTCAACTCATAGAGTTGAAGATTCCCTTTCATAGGGCAGGTTTGAAATACTCTTTCTGTAGTATCTGGATGTGGACATTTGGAGCGCTTTGATGCCTACGGTGAAAAAGTAAATATCTTCCCATAAAAACGAGACAGAAGGATTCTGAGAAACAAGTTTGTGATGTGTGTACTCAGCTAACAGAGTGGAACCTCTCTTTTGATGCAGCAGTTTGGAAACACTCTTTTTGTAGAAACTGTAAGTGGATATTTGGATAGCTCTAATGATTTCTTTGGAAACGGGAATATCATCATCTAAAATCTAGACAGAAGCTCACTCAGAAACTACTTTGTGATATCTGCATTCAAGTCACAGAGTTGAACATTCGCTTTCTTAGAGCACGTTTGAAACACTCTTTTTGTAGTGTCTGGAAGTGGACATTTGGAGCGCTTTGATGCCTTTGGTGAAAAAGGGAACGTCTTCCCATAAAAACTAGACAGAAGCATTCTCAGAAACTTGTTTGTGATGTGTGTACCCAGCTAAAGGAGTTGAACATTTCTATTGATAGAGCAGTTTTGAAACACTCTTTTTGTGGAAAATGCAAGTGGATATTTGGATAGCTTGGAGGATTTCGTTGGAAGCGGGAATTCAAATAAAGGTAGACAGCAGCATTCTGAGAAATTAGTTTCTGATGTCTGCATTCAACTCATAGAGTTGAAGATTCCCTTTCATAGAGCAGGTTTGAAACACTGTTTCTGGAGTATCTGGATGTGGACATTTGGAGCGCTTTGATGCCTACGGTGAAAAAGTAAATATCTTCCCATAAGAACGAGACAGAAGGATTCTGAGAAACAAGTTTGTGATGTGTGTACTCAGCTAACAGAGTGGAACCTTTCTTTTTACAGAGCAGCTTTGAAACTCTATTTTTGTGGATTCTGCAAATGGATATTTAGATTGCTTTAATGATACCGCTGGAAAAGGGAATATGGTCATACAAAATCTAGACAGAAGCATTCTCACAAACTTCTTTGTGATGTGTGTCCTCAACTAACAGAGTTGAACCTTTCTTTTGATGCAGCAGTTTGGAAACACTGTTTTTGTAGCAACTGTAATGGATATTTGGATAGCTCTAACGATTTCGTTGGAAACGGGAATATCATCATCTAAAATCTAGACAGAAGCACTATTAGAAACTACTTGGTGATATCTGCATTCAAGTCACAGAGTTGAACATTCCCTTACTTTGAGCACGTTTCAAACACTCTTTTGGAAGAATCTGGAAGTGGACATTTGGAGCGCTTTGATGCCTTTGGTGAAAAGGAAACGTCTTCCAATAAAAGCCAGACAGAAGCATTCTCAGAAACTTGTTTGTGATGTGTGTACTCAACTACAAGAGTTGAACCTTTCTATTGATAGAGCAGTTTTGAAACACTCTTTTGTGGATTCTGCAAGTGGATATTTGGATTGCTTTGAGGATTTCGTTGGAAGCGGGAATTCGTATAAAACTAGACAGCCAGCATTCCCAGAAATTTCTTTCGGATATTTCCATTCAACTCATTGAGATGAACATCGCCTTTCATAGAGCAGGTTTGAAACACTCTTTTTGTAGTTTGTGGAAGTGGACATTTCGATCGCCTTGACGCCTACGGTGAAAAAGGAAATATCTTCCCATAAAAAATAGACAGAGCATTCTCAGAAACTTGTTGGTGATATGTGTCCTCAACTAACAGAGTTGAACTTTGCCATTGATAGAGAGCAGTTTTGAAACACTCTTTTTGTGGAATCTGCAAGTGGATATTTGGATAGCTTGGAGGATTTCGTTGGAAGCGGGAATTCAAATAAAAGGTAGACAGCAGCATTCTCAGAAATTTCTTTCTGATGTCTGCATTCAACTCATAGAGTTGAGCATTCCCTTTCATAGGGCAGGTTTGAAATACTCTTTCTGTAGTATCTGGATGTGGACATTTGGAGCGATTTGAGGCCTACGATGAAAAAGTAAATATCTTCCCATAAAAACGAGACAGAAGGATTCTGAGAAACAAGTTTGTGATGTGTGTACTCAGCTAACAGAGTGGAACCTCTCTTCTGATGCAGCAGTTTGGAAACACTCTTTTTGTAGAAACTGTAAGTGAATATTTGGATAGCTCTAATGATTTCGTTGGAAATGGGAATATCATCAACTAAAATCTAGACAGAAGCCCTCTCAGAAACTACTTTGTGATATCTGTATTCAAGTCACAGAGTTGAACATTCGCTTTCTTAGAGCACGTTGGAAACACTCTTTTTGTAGTGTCTGGAAGTGGACATTTGGAGCGCTTTGATGCCTTTGGTGAAAAAGGGAATGTCTTCCCATAAAAACTAGACAGAAGCATTCTCAGAAACTTGTTTGTGATGTGTGCACCCAGCTAAAGGAGTTGAACATTTATTGATAGAGCAGTTTTGAAGCACTCTTTTTGTGGAAAATGCAAGTGGATATTTGGATAGCTTGGAGGATTTCGTTGGAAGCGGGAGTTCAAATAAAAGGTAGACAGCAGCATTCTCAGAAATTTCTTTCTGATGTCTGCATTCAACTCATAGAGTTGAAGCATTCCCTTTCATAGGAGCAGGTTTGAAACACTCTTTCTGGAGTATCTGGATGTGGACATTTGGAGCGCTTTGATGCCTACGGTGAAAAAGTAAATATCTTCCCATAAAAACGAGACAGAAGGATTCTGAGAAACAAGTTTGTGATGTGTGTACTCAGCTAACAGAGTGGAACCTTTCTTTTTACAGAGCAGCTTTGAAACTCTATTTTTGTGGATTCTGCAAATGGATATTTAGATTGCTTTAACGATATCGTTGGAAAAGGGAATATCGTCATACAAAATCTAGACAGAAGCATTCTCACAAACTTCTTTGTGATGTGTGTCCTCAACTAACAGAGTTGAACCTTTCTTTTGATGCAGCAATTTGGAAACACCCTTTTGGTAGAAACTGTAATTGGATATTTGGATAGCTCTAACGATTTCGTTGGAAACGGGAATATCATCATCTAAAATCTAGACAGAAGCACTATTAGAAACTACTTGGTGATATCTGCATTCAAGACACAGAGTAGAACATTCCCTTACTTTGAGCACGTTTGAAACACTCTTTTGGAAGAATCTGGAAGTGGACATTTGGAGCGCTTTGATGCCTTTGGTGAAAAGGAAACGTCTTCCAATAAAAGCCAGACAGAAGCATTCTCAGAAACTTGTTTGTGATGTGTGTACTCAACTAAAAGAGTTGAACCTTTCTATTGATAGAGCAGTTTTGAAACACTCTTTTTGTGGATTCTGCAAGTGGATATTTGGATTGCTTTGAGGATTTCGTTGGAAGCGGGAATTCGTATAAACACTAGACAGCAGCATTCCCAGAAATTTCTTTCGGATATTTCCATTCAACTCATAGAGATGAACATGGCCTTTCATATTGAAACACACTTTTTGTAGTTTGTGGAAGTGGACATTTCGATCGCCTTGACGCCTACGGTGAAAAAGGAAATATCTTCCCATAAAAAATAGACAGAAGAATTCTCAGAAACTTGTTTGTGATGTGTATCCTCAACTGACAGAGTTGAACCTTGCCATTGATAGAGCAGTTTAGAAACACTCTTTTTGTGGAATCTGCAAGTGGATATTTGGATAGCTTGGAGGATTTCGTTGGAAGCGGGAATTCAAATGAAAGGTAGACAGCAGCATTCTCAGAAATTTCTTTCTGATGTCTGCATTCAACTCATAGCAGTTGAAGATTCCCTTTCATAGAGCAGGTTTGAAACACTCTTTCTGGAGTATCTGGATGTGGACATTTGGAGCGCTTTGATGCCTACGGTGAAAAAGTAAATATCTTCCCATAAAAACGAGACAGAAGGATTCTCAGAAACAAGTTTGTGTTGTGTGTACTCAGCTAACAGAGTGGAACCTTTCTTTTTACAGAGCAGCTTTGAAACTCTATTTTTGTGGATTCTGGAAATTGATATTTAGATTGCTTTAACGATATCGTTGGAAAAGGGAATATCGTCATACAAAATCTGGACAGAAGCCCTCTCAGAAACTACTTTGTGATATCTGCATTCAAGTCACAGAGTTGAACATTCGCTTTCTTAGAGCACGTTGGAAACACTCTTTTTGTAGTGTCTGGAAGTGGACATTTGGAGTGCTTTGATGCCTTTGGTGAAAAAGGGAACGTCTTCCCATAAAAACTAGACAGAAGCATTCTCAGAAACTTGTTTGTGATGTGTGCACCCAGCTAAAGGAGTTGAACATTTATTGATAGAGCAGTTTTGAAGCACTCTTTTTGTGGAAAATGCAAGTGGATATTTGGATAGCTTGGAGGATTTCGTTGGAAGCGGGAATTCAAATAAAAGGTAGACAGCAGGATTCTCAGAAACAAGTTTGTGATGTGTGTACTCAGCTAACAGAGTGGAACCTTTCTTTTTACAGAGCAGCTTTGAAACTCTATTTTTGTGGATTCTGCAAATTGATATTTAGATTGCTTTAACGATATCATTGGAAAAGGGAATATCGTCATACAAAATCTAGACAGAAGCCCTCTCACAAACTACTTTGTGATATCTGCATTCAAGTCACAGAGTTGAACATTCGCTTTCTTAGAGCACGTTGGAAACACTCTTTTTGTAGTGTCTGGAAGTGGACATTTGGAGCGCTTTGATGCCTTTGGTGAAAAAGGGAACGTCTTCCCATAAAAACTAGACAGAAGCATTCTCAGAAACTTGTTTGTGATGTGTGTACCTAGCTAAAGGAGTTGAACATTTCTATTGATAGAGCAGTTTTGAAACACTCTTTTTGTGGAAAATGCAGGTGGATATTTGGATAGGTTGGAAGATTTCGTTGGAAGCGGGAATTCAAATAAATGGTAGACAGCAGGATTCTGAGAAACAAGTTTGTGATATGTGTACTCAGCTAACAGAGTGGAACCTTTCTTTTTACAGAGCAGCTTTGAAACTCTATTTTTGTGGATTCTGCAAATTGATATTTAGATTGCTTTAACGATATCGTTGGAAAAGGGAATATCGTCATACAAAATCTAGACAGAAGCATTCTCACAAACTTCTTTGTGACGTGTGTCCTCATCTAACAGAGTTGAACCTTTCTTTTGATGCAGCAGTTTGGAAACACTGTTTTTGTAGCAACTGTAAGTGGATATTTGGATAGCTCTAACGATTTCGTTGGAAACGGGAATATCATCATCTAAAATCTAGACAGAAGCACTATTAGAAACTACTTGGTGATATCTGCATTCAAGTCACAGAGTTGAACATTCCCTTACTTTGAGCACGTTTCAAACACTCTTTTGGAAGAATCTGGAAGTGGACATTTGGAGCGCTTTGATGCCTTTGGTGAAAAGGAAACGTCTTCCAATAAAAGCCAGACAGAAGCATTCTCAGAAACTTGTTTGTGATGTGTGTACTCAACTAAAAGAGTTGAACCTTTCTATTGATAGAGCAGTTTTGAAACACTCTTTTTGTCGATTCTGCAAGTGGATATTTGGATTGCTTTGAGGATTTCGTTGGAAGCGGCAATTCGTATAAAAACTAGACAGCAGCATTCCCAGAAATTTCTTTCGGATATTTCCATTCAACTCATAGAGATGAACATCGCCTTTCATAGAGCAGGTTTGAAACACTCTTTTTGTAGTTTGTGGAAGTGGACATTTCGATCGCCTTGACGCCTACGGTGAAAAAGGAAATATCTTCCCATAAAAAATAGACAGAAGCATTCTCAGAAACTTGTTGGTGATATGTGTCCTCAACTAACAGAGTTGAACTTTGCCATTGATAGAGAGCAGTTTTGAAACACTCTTTTTGTGGAATCTGCAAGTGGATATTTGGATAGCTTGGAGGATTTCGTTGGAAGCGGGAATTCAAATAAAAGGTAGACAGCAAGCATTCTCAGAAATTTCTTCCTGATGTCTGCATTCAACTCATAGAGTTGAACATTCCCTTTCATAGAGCAGGTTTGAAACACTCTTTCTGGAGTATCTGGATGTGGACATTTGGAGCGCTTTGATGCCTACGGTGAAAAAGTAAATATCTTCCCATAAAAACGAGACAGAAGGATTCTGAGAAACAAGTTTGTGATGTGTGTACTCAGCTAACAGAGTGGAACCTCTCTCTTGATGCAGCAGTTTGGAAACACTCTTTTTGTAGAAACTGTAAGTGGATATTTGGATAGCTCTAATGATTTCGTTGGAAACGGGAATATCATCATCTAAAATCTAGACAGAAGCCCTCTCAGCAAACTACTTTGTGATATCTGCATTCAAGTCAGAGAGTTGAACATTCGCTTTCTTAGAGCACGTTTGAAACACTCTTTTTGTAGTGTCAGGAAGTGGACATTTGGAGCGCTTTGATGCCTTTGGTGAAACAGGGAATGTCTTCCCATAAAAACTAGACAGAAGCATTCTCAGAAACTTGTTTGTGATGTGTGTACCCAGCTAAAGGAGTTGAACGTTTCTATTGATAGAGCAGTTTTGAAACACTCTTTTTGTGGAAAATGCAAGTGGATATTTGGATAGCTTGGAGGATTTCGTTGGAAGCGGGAATTCAAATAAAAGGTAGACAGCAGGATTCTGAGAAACAAGTTTGTGATGTGTGTACTCAGCTAACAGAGTGGAACCTCTCTTTTTACAGAGCAGCTTTGAAACTCTATTTTTGTGGATTCTGCAAATGGATATTTAGATTGCTTTAATGATATCGCTGGAAAAGGGAATATGGTCATACAAAATCTAGACAGAAGCATTCTCACAAACTTCTTTGTGATGTGTGTCCTCAACTAACAGAGTTGAACCTTTCTTTTGATGCAGCAGTTTGGAAACACTCTTTTTGTAGAAACTGTAAGTGGATATTTGGATAGCTCTAACGATTTCGCTGGAAACGGGAATATCGTCATCTAAAATCTAGACAGAAGCACTATTAGAAACTACTTGGTGATATCTGCATTCAAGTCACAGAGTAGAACATTCCCTTACTTTGAGCACGTTTGAAACACTCTTTTGGAAGAATCTGGAAGTGGACATTTGGAGCGCTTTGATGCCTTTGGTGAAAAGGAAACGTCTTCCAATAAAAGCCAGACAGAAGCATTCTCAGAAACTTGTTTGTGATGTGTGTACCCAGCGAAAGGAGTTGAACATTTCTATTGATAGAGCAGTTTTGAAACACTCTTTTTGTGGAATCTGCAAGTGGATATTTGGATAGCTTGGAGGTTTTCGTTGGAAGCGGGAATTCAAATAAAAGGTAGACAGCATTCTCAGAAACTTGTTTGTGATGTGTGTCCTCAACTGACAGAGTTGTACCTTTCTATTGATAGAGTAGTTTTGAAACACTCTTTTTGTGGAATCTGCAAGTGAATATTTGGATAGCTTGGAGGATTTCGTTGGAAGCGGGAATTCAAATGAAAGGTAGACAGCAGCATTCTCAGAAATTTCTTTCTGATGTCTGCATTCAACTCATAGGAGTTGAAGATTCCCTTTCATAGAGCAGGTTTGAAACACTCTTTCTGGAGTATCTGGATGTGGACATTTGGAGCGCTTTGATGCCTACGGTGAAAAAGTAAATATCTTCCCAGAAAAACGAGACAGAAGGATTCTGAGAAACAAGTTTGTGATGTGTGTACTCACCTAACAGAGTGGAACCTCTCTTTTGATGCAGTAGTTTGGAAACACTCTTTTTGTAGAAACTGTAAGTGGATATTTGGATAGCTCTAATGATTTCGTTGGAAACGGGAATATCATCATCTAAAATCTAGACAGAAGCACTCTCAGAAACTACTTTTTGATATCTGCATTCAAGTCATAGTGTTGAACATTCGCTTTCTTAGAGCACTTTTGAAACACTCTTTTTGTAGTATCTGGAAGTGGACATTTGGAGCTCTTTGATGCCTTTGGTGAAAAAGGAAATGTCTTCCCATAAAATCTAGAAAGAAGCATTCTCAGAAACTTGTTTGTGATGTGTGTACCCAGCCAAAGGAGTTGAACATTTCTATTGATAGAGCAGTTTTGAAACACTCTTGTTGTGGAAAATGCAGGTGGATATTTGGATAGCTTGGAGGATTTCGTTGGAAGCGGGAATTCAAATAAAAAGGTAGACAGCAGCATTCTCAGAAATTTCTTTCTGATGTCTGCATTCAACTCATAGAGTTGAAGATTCCCTTTCATAGGGCAGGTTTGAAACAGTCTTTCTGGAGTATCTGGATGTGGACATTTGGAGCGCTTTGATGCCTACGGTGAAAAAGTAAATATCTTCCCATAAAAACGAGACAGAAGGATTCTCAGAAACAAGTTTGTGATGTGTGTACTCAGCTAACAGAGTGGAACCTTTCTTTTTACAGAGCAGCTTTGAAACTCTATTTCTGTGGATTCTGCAAATTGATATTTAGATTGCTTTAATGATATCGTTGGAAAAGGGAATATCGTCATACAAAATCTAGACAGAAGCATTCTCACAAACTTCTTTGTGATGTGTGTCCTCAACTAACAGAGTTGAACTTTTCTTTTGATGCAGCAGTTTGGAAACACTCTTTTTGTAGAAAGTGTAAGTGGATATTTGGATAGCTCTAACGATTTCGTTGGAAACGGGAATATCATCATCTAAAATCTAGACAGAAGCACTATTAGAAACTACTTGGTGATATCTGCATTCAAGTCACAGAGTTGAACATTCCCTTACTTTGAGCACGTTTGAAACACTCTTTTGGAAGAATCTGGAAGTGGACATTTGGAGCGCTTTGATGCCTTTGGTGAAAAGGAAACGTCTTCCAATAAAAGCCAGACAGAAGCATTCTCAGAAACTTGTTTGTGATGTGTGTACTCAACTAAAAGAGTTGAACCTTTCTATTGATAGAGCAGTTTTGAAACACTCTTTTTGTGGATTCTGCAAGTGGATATTTGGATTGCTTTGAGGATTTCGTTGGAAGCGGGAATTCATATAAAAACTAGACAGCAGCATTCCCAGAAATTTCTTTCGGATATTTCCATTCAACTCATAGAGATGAACATCGCCTTTCATAGAGCAGGTTTGAAACACTCTTTTTGTAGTTTGTGGAAGTGGACATTTCGATCGCCTTGACGCCTACAGTGAAAAAGGAAATATCTTCCCATAAAAAATAGACAGAAGCATTCTCAGAAACTTGTTGGTGATATGTGTCCTCAACTAACAGAGTTGAACTTTGCCATTGATAGAGAGCAGTTTTGAAACACTCTTTTTGTGGAATCTGCAAGTGGATATTTGGATAGCTTGGAGGATTTCGTTGGAAGCGGGAATTCAAATAAAAGGTAGACAGCAGCATTCTCAGAAATTTCTTTCTGATGTCTGCATTCAACTCATAGAGTTGAAGATTCCCTTTCATAGAGCAGGTTTGAAACACTCTTTCTGGAGTATCTAGATGTGGACATTTGGAGCGCTTTGATGCCTACGGTGAAAAAGTAAATATCTTCCCATAAAAACGAGACAGAAGGATTCTGAGAAACAAGTTTGTGATGTGTGTACTCAGCTAACAGAGTGGAACCTCTCTTTGGATGCAGCAGTTTGGAAACACTCTTTTTGTAGAAACTGTAAGTGGATATTTGGATAGCTCTAATGATTTCGTTGGAAACGGGAATATCATCATCTAAAATCTAGACAGAAGCCGTCTCAGAAAGTACTTTGTGATATCTGCATTCAAGTCACAGAGTTGAACATTCGGTTTCTTAGAGCACGTTTGAAACACTCTTTTTGTAGTGTCTGGAAGTGGACATTTGGAGCGCTTTGATGCCTTTGGTGAAAAAGGGAATGTCTTCCCATAAAAACTAGACAGAAGCATTCTCAGAAACTTGTTTGTGATGTGTGTACCCAGCTAAAGGAGTTGAACATTTCTATTGATAGAGCAGTTTTGAAACACTCTTTTTGTGGAAAATGCAAGTGGATATTTGGATAGCTTGGAGGCTTTCGTTGGAAGCGGGATTTCAAATAAAAGGTAGACAACAGCATTTCTCAGAAATTTCTTTCTGATGTCTGCATTCAACTCATAGAGTTGAAGATTCCCTTTCATAGAGCAGGTTTGAAACACTCTTTCTGGAGTATCTGGATGTGGACATTTGGAGCGCTTTGATGCCTACGGTGGAAAAGTAAATATCTTCCCATAAAAACGAGACAGAAGGATTCTGAGAAACAAGTTTGTGATGTGTGTACTCAGCTAACAGAGTGGAACCTTTCTTTTTACAGAGCAGCTTTGAAACTCTATTTTTGTGGATTCTGCAAATGGATATTTAGATTGCTTTAATGATATCGTTGGAAAAGGGAATATCGTCATACAAAATCTAGACAGAAGCATTCTCACAAACTTCTTTGTGATGTGTGTCCTCAACTAACAGAGTTGAACCTTTCTTTTGATGCAGCAGTTTGGAAACACTCTTTTTGTAGAAACTGTAAGTGGATATTTGGATAGCTCTAACGATTTCGTTGGAAACGGGAATATCATCATCTAAAATCTAGATAGAAGCACTATTAGAAACTACTTGGTGATATCTGTATTCAAGTCACAGAGTTGAACATTCCCTTACTTTGAGCACGTTTGAAACACTCTTTTGGAAGAATCTGGAAGTGGACATTTGGAGCGCTTTGATGCCTTTGGTGAAAAGGAAACGTCTTCCAATAAAAGCCAGAGAGAAGCATTCTCAGAAACTTGTTCGTGATGTGTGTACTCAACTAAAAGAGTTGAACCTTTCTATTGATAGAGCAGTTTTGAAACACTCTTTTTGTGGATTCTGCAAGTGGATATTTGGATTGCTTTGAGGATTTCGTTGGAAGCGGGAATTCATATAAAAACTAGACAGCAGCATTCCCAGAAATTTTTTTCGGATATTTCCATTCAACTCATAGAGATGAACATGGCCTTTCATAGAGCAGGTTTGAAACACTCTTTTTGTAGTTTGTGGAAGTGGACATTTCGATCGCCTTGACGCCTACGGTGAAAAAGGAAATATCTTCCCATAAAAAATAGACAGAAGCATTCTCAGAAACTTGTTGGTGATATGTGTCCTCAACTAACAGAGTTGAACTTTGCCATTGATAGAGAGCAGTTTTGAAACACTCTTTCTGTGGAATCTGCAAGTGGATATTTGGATAGCTTGGAGGATTTCGTTGGAAGCGGGAATTCAAATAAAAGGTAGACAGCAGCATTCTCAGAAATTTCTTTCTGATGTCTGCATTCAACTCATAGAGTTGAAGATTCCCTTTCATAGAGCAGGTTTGAAAAACTCTTTCTGTACTATCTGGATGTGGACATTTGGAGCGCTTTGATGCCTACGGTGAAAAAGTAAATATCTTCCCATAAAAACGAGACAGAAGGATTCTGAGAAACAAGTTTGTGATGTGTGTACTCAGCTAACAGAGTGGAACCTCTCTTTTGATGCAGCAGTTTGGAAACACTCTTTTTGTAGAAACTGTAAGTGGATATTTGGATAGCTCTAATGATTTCGTTGGAAACGGGAATATCATCGTCTAAAATCTAGACAGAAGCCCTCTCAGAAACTACTTTGTGATATCTGCATTCAAGTCACAGAGTTGAACATTCGGTTTCTTAGAGCACGTTTGAAACACTCTTTTTGTAGTGTCTGGAAGTGGACATTTGGAGCGCTTTGATGCCTTTGGTGAAAAAGGGAACGTCTTCCCATAAAAACTAGACAGAAGCATTCTCAGAAACTTGTTTGTGATGTGTGTACCCAGCTAAAGGAGTTGAATATTTCTATTGACAGAGCAGTTATGAAACACTTTTTTTGTGGAAAATGCAAGTGGATATTTGGATAGCTTGGAGGATTTCGTTGGAAGCGGGAATTCAAATAAAAGGTAGACAGCAGCATTCTCAGAAATTTCTTTCTGATGTCTGCATTCAACTCATAGAGTTGAAGATTCCCTTTCATAGAGCAGGTTTGAAACACTCGTTCTGGAGTATCTGGATGTGGACCTTTGGAGCGCTTTGATGCCTACGGTGGAAAAGTAAATATCTTCCCATAAAAACGAGACAGAAGGGATTCTCAGAAACAAGTTTGTGATGTGTGTACTCAGCTAACAGAGTGGAACCTTTCTTTTTACAGAGCAGCTTTGAAACTCTATTTTTGTGGATTCTGCAAATTGATATTTAGATTGCTTTAACGATATCGTTGGAAAAGGGAATATCGTCATACAAAATCTAGACAGAAGCATTCTCACAAACTTCTTTGTGATGTGTGTCCTCAACTAACAGAGTTGAACCTTTCTTTTGATGCAGCAATTTGGAAACACCCTTTTGGTAGAAACTGTAACTGGATATTTGGATAGCTCTAACGATTTCCTTGGAAACGGGAATATCATCATCTAAAATCTAGACAGAAGCACTATTAGAAACTACTTGGTGATATCTGCATTCAAGTCACAGAGTTGAACATTCCCTTACTTTGAGCACGTTTCAAACACTCTTTTGGAAGAATCTGGAAGTGGACATTTGGAGCGCTTTGATGCCTTTGGTGAAAAGGAAACGTCTTCCAATAAAAGCCAGACAGAAGCATTCTCAGAAACTTGTTTGTGATGTGTGTACTCAACTAAAAGAGTTGAACCTTTCTATTGATAGAGCAGTTTTGAAACACTCTTTTTGTGGATTCTGCAAGTGGATATTTGGATTGCTTTGAGGATTTCGTTGGAAGCGGGAATTCGTATAAAACTAGACAGCAGCATTCCCAGAAAATTTCTTTCGGATATTTCCATTCGACTCATAGAGATGAACATGGCCTTTCATAGAGCAGGTTTGAAACACT
This sequence comes from Homo sapiens, assembly GCF_000001405.40. NCBI lineage: Eukaryota > Metazoa > Chordata > Mammalia > Primates > Hominidae > Homo > Homo sapiens. The sequence continues at coordinate 17,876,005 of NC_000014.9, forward strand.
CTTTTTGTAGTTTGTGGAAGTGGACATTTCGATCGCCTTGACGCCTACGGTGAAGAAGGAAATATCTTCCCATAAAAAATAGACAGAAGCATTCTCAGAAACTTGTTTGTGATGTGTGTACCCAGCCAAAGGAGTTGAACATTTCTATTGATAGAGCAGTTTTGAAACACTCTTGTTGTGGAAAACGCAGGTGGATATTTGGATAGCTTGGAGGATTTCGTTGGAAGCGGGAATTCAAATAAAAGGTAGACAGCAGCATTCTCAGAAATTTCTTTGTGATGTTTGCCTTCAACTCATAGAGTTGAACATTCCCTTTCATAGAGCAGGTTTGAAACACTCTTTCTGTACTATCTGGATGTGGACATTGGGATCGCTTTGATGCCTATGGTGAAAAAGGAAATATCTTCCCATAAAAGCTAGACAGAAGGATTCTGAGAAACAAGTTTGTGATGTGTGTACTCAGCTAACAGAGTGGAACCTCTCTTTTGATGCAGCAGTTTGGAAACACTCTTTTTGTAGAAACTGTAAGTGGATATTTGGAAGCTCTAATGATTTTGTTGGAAACGGGAATATCATCATCTAAAATCTAGACAGAAGCCCTCTCAGAAACTACTTTGTGATATCTGCATTCAAGTCACAGAGTTGAACATTCGGTTTCTTAGAGCACGTTTGAAACACTCTTTTTGTAGTGTCTGGAAGTGGACATTTGGAGCGCTTTGGTGCCTTTGGTGAAAAAGGGAATGTCTTCCCATAAAAACTAGACAGAAGCATTCTCAGAAACTTGTTTGTGATGTGTGTACCCAGCTAAAGGAGTTGAACGTTTCTATTGATAGAGCAGTTTTGAAACACTCTTTTTGTGGAAAATGCAAGTGGATGTTTGGATAGCTAGGAGGATTTCGTTGGAAGCGGGAATTCAAATAAAAGGTAGACAGCAGGATGCTGAGAAACAAGTTTGTGATGTGTGTACTCAGCTAACAGAGTGGAACCTTTCTTTTTACAGAGCAGCTTTGAAACTCTATTTTTGTGGATTCTGCAAATGGATATTTAGATTGCTTTAATGATATCGCTGGAAAAGGGAATATGGTCATACAAAATCTAGACAGAAGCATTCTCACAAACTTCTTTGTGATGTGTGTCCTCAACTAACAGAGGTTGAACCTTTCTTTTGATGCAGCAATTTGGAAACACCCTTTTGGTAGAAACTGTAACTGGATATTTGGATAGCTCTAACGATTTCGTTGGAAACGGGAATATCATCATCTAAAATCTAGACAGAAGCACTATTAGAAACTACTTGGTGATATCTGCATTCAAGTCACAGAGTTGAACATTCCCTTACTTTGAGCACGTTTCAAACACTCTTTTGGAAGAATCTGGAAGTGGACATTTGGAGCGCTTTGATGCCTTTGGTGAAAAGGAAACGTCTTCCAATAAAAGCCAGACAGAAAACATTCTCAGAAACTTGTTTGTGATGTGTGTACTCAACTAAAAGAGTTGAACCTTTCTATTGATAGAGCAGTTTTGAAACACTCTTTTTGTGGATTCTGCAAGTGGATATTTGGATTGCTTTGAGGATTTCGTTGGAAGCGGGAATTCATATAAAAACTAGACAGCAGCATTCCCAGAAATTTCTTTCGGATATTTCCATTCAACTCATAGAGATGAACATCGCCTTTCATAGAGCAGGTTTGAAACACTCTTTTTGTAGTTTGTGGAAGTGGACATTTCGATCGCCTTGACGCCTACGGTGAAAAAGGAAATATCTTCCCATAAAAAATAGACAGAAGCATTCTCAGAAACTTGTTGGTGATATGTGTCCTCAACTAACAGAGTTGAACTTTGCCATTGATAGAGAGCAGTTTTGAAACACTCTTTTTGTGGAATCTGCAAGTGGATATTTGGATAGCTTGGAGGATTTCGTTGGAAGCGGGAATTCAAATAAAAGGTAGACAGCAGCATTCTCAGAAATTTCTTTCTGATGTCTGCATTCAACTCATAGAGTTGAACATTCCCTTTCATAGAGCAGGTTTGAAACACTCTTTCTGGAGTATCTGGATGTGGGCATTTGGAGCGCTTTGATGCCTACGGTGAAAAAGTAAATATCTTCCCATAAAAACGAGACAGAAGGATTCTGAGAAACAAGTTTGTGATGTGTGTACTCAGCTAACAGAGTGGAACCTCTCTTTTGATGCAGCAGTTTGGAAACACTCTTTTTGTAGAAACTGTAAGTGGATATTTGGATAGCTCTAATGATTTCGTTGGAAACGGGAATATCATCATCTAAAATCTAGACAGAAGCCCTCTCAGAAACTACTTTGTGATATCTGCATTCAAGTCACAGAGTTGAACATTCGCTTTCTTAGAGCACGTTTGCAACACTCTTTTTGTAGTGTCTGGAAGTGGACATTTGGAGCGCTTTGATGCCTTTGGTGAAAAAGGGAACGTCTTCCCATAAAAACTAGACAGAAGCATTCTCAGAAACTTGTTTGTGATGTGTGTACCCAGCTAAAGGAGTTGAACATTTCTATTGATAGAGCAGTTTTGAAACACTCTTTTTGTGGAAAATGCAGGTGGATATTTGGATAGCTTGGAGGATTTCGTTGGAAGCGGGATTTCAAATAAAAGGTAGACAACAGCATTCTCAGAAATTTCTTTCTGATGTCTGCATTCAACTCATAGAGTTGAAGATTCCCTTTCATAGAGCAGGTTTGAAACACTCTTTCTGGAGTATCTGGATGTGGACATTTGGAGCGCTTTGATGCCTATGGTGAAAAAGTAAATATCTTCCCATAAAAACGAGACAGAAAGGATTCTGAGGAAACAAGTTTGTGATGTGTGTACTCAGCTAACAGAGTGGAACCTTTCTTTTTACAGAGCAGCTTTGAAACTCTATTTTTGTGGATTCTGCAAATTGATATTTAGATTGCTTTAACGATATCGTTGGAAAAGGGAATATCGTCATACAAAATCTAGACAGAAGCATTCTCACAAACTTCTTTGTGATGTGTGTCCTCAACTAACAGAGTTGAACCTTTCTTTTGATGCAGCAATTTGGAAACACCCTTTTGGTAGAAACTGTAACTGGATATTTGGATAGCTCTAACGATTTCGTTGGAAACGGGAATATCATCATCTAAAATGTAGACAGAAGCACTATTAGAAACTACTTGGTGATATCTGCATTCAAGTCAAAGAGTTGAACATTCCCTTACTTTGAGCACGTTTGAAACACTCTTTTGGAAGAATCTGGAAGTGGACATTTGGAGCGCTTTGATGCCTTTGGTGAAAAGGAAACGTCTTCCAATAAAAGCCAGACAGAAGCATTCTGAGAAACTTGTTCGTGATGTGTGTACTCAACTAAAAGAGTTGAACCTTTCTATTGATAGAGCAGTTTTGAAACACTCTTTTTGTGGATTCTGCAAGTGGATATTTGGATTGCTTTGAGGATTTCGTTGGAAGCGGGAATTCGTACAAACACTAGACAACAGCATTCCCAGAAATTTCTTTCGGATATTTCCATTCAACTCATAGAGATGAACATGGCCTTTCATAGAGCAGGTTTGAAACACTCTTTTTGTAGTTTGTGGAAGTGGACATTTCGATCGCCTTGACGCCTACGGTGAAAAAGGAAATATCTTCCCATAAAAAATAGACAGAAGCATTCTCAGAAACTTGTTGGTGATATGTGTCCTCAACTAACAGAGTTGAACTTTGCCATTGATAGAGAGCAGTTTTGAAACACTCTTTTTCCTGAATCTGCAAGTGGATATTTGGATAGTTTGGAGGATTTCGTTGGAAGCGGGAATTCAAATAAAAGGTAGACAGCAGCATTCTCAGAAATTTCTTTCTGATGTCTGCATTCAACTCATAGAGTTGAAGATTCCCTTTCATAGAGCAGGTTTGAAACACTCTTTCTGGAGTATCTGGATGTGGACATTTGGAGCGCTTTGATGCCTACGGTGGAAAAGTAAATATCTTCCCATAAAAACGAGACAGAAGGATTCTGAGAAACAAGTTTGTGATGTGTGTACTCAGCTAACAGAGTGGAACCTCTCTTTTGATGCAGCAGTTTGGAAACACTCTTTTTGTAGAAACTGTAAGTGGATATTTGGATAGCTCTAATGATTTCGTTGGAAACGGGAATATCATCATCTAAAATCTAGCCAGAAGCACTCTCAGAAACTACTTTTTGATATCTGCATTCAAGTCACAGACTTGAACATTCGCTTTCTTAGAGCACTTTTGAAACACTCTTTTTGTAGTATCTGGAAGTGGACATTTGGAGCTCTTTGATGCCTTTGGTGAAAAAGGAAATGTCTTCCCATAAAAACTAGACAGAAGCTTTCTCAGAAACTTGTTTGTGATGTGTGTACCCAGCGAAAGGAGTTGAACATTTCTATTGATAGAGCAGTTTTGAAACACTCTTTTTGTGGAATCTGCAAGTGGATATTTGGATAGCTTGTAGGTTTTCGTTGGAAGCGGGAATTCAAATAAAAGGTAGACAGCAGGATTCTGAGAAATAAGTTTGTGATGTGTGTACTCAGCTAACAGAGTGGAACCTCTCTTTTGATGCAGCAGTTTGGAAACACTCTTTTTGTAGAAACTGTAAGTGGATATTTGGATAGCTCTAATGATTTCGTTGGAAACGGGAATATCATCATCTAAAATCTAGACAGAAGCATTCTCACAAACTTCTTTGTGATGTGTGTCCTCAACTAACAGAGTTGAACCTTTCTTTTGATGCAGCAATTTGGAAACACCCTTTTGGTAGAAACTGTAACTGGATATTTGGATAGCTCTAACGATTTCGTTGGAAAAGGGAATATCATCATCTAAAATGTAGACAGAAGCACTATTAGAAACTACTTGGTGATATCTGCATTCAAGTCACAGAGTTGAACATTCCCTTACTTTGAGCACGTTTCAAACACTCTTTTGGAAGAATCTGGAAGTGGACATTTGGAGCGCTTTGATGCCTTTGGTGAAAAGGAAACGTCTTCCAATAAAAGCCAGACAGAAGCATTCTCAGAAACTTGTTTGTGATGTGTGTACTCAACTAAAAGAGTTGAACCTTTCTATTGACAGAGCAGTTTTGAAACACTCTTTTTGTGGATTCTGCAAGTGGATATTTGGATTGCTTTGAGGATTTCGTTGGAAGCGGGAATTCGTATAAAAACTAGACAGCAGCATTCCCAGAAATTTCTTTCGGATATTTCCATTCACCTCATAGAGATGAACATGGCCTTTCAGAGAGCAGGTTTGAAACACTCTTTTTGTAGTTTGTGGAAGTGGACATTTCGATCGCCTTGACGCCTACGGTGAAAAAGGAAATATCTTCCCATAAAAAATAGACAGAAGCATTCTCAGAAACTTGTTGGTGATATGTGTCCTCAACTAACAGAGTTGAACTTTGCCATTGATAGAGAGCAGTTTTGAAACACTCTTTTTGTGGAATCTGCAAGTGGATATTTGGATAGCTTGGAGGATTTCGTTGGAAGCGGGAATTCAAATAAAAGGTAGACAGCAGCATTCTCAGAAATTTCTTTCTGATGTCTGCATTCAACTCATAGAGTTGAAGATTCCCTTTCATAGAGCAGGTTTGAAACACTCTTTCTGGAGTATCTGGATGTGGACATTTGGAGCGCTTTGATGCCTACGGTGAAAAAGTAAATATCTTCCCATAAGAACGAGACAGAAGGATTCTGAGAAACAAGTTTGTGATGTGTGTACTCAGCTAACAGAGTGGAACCTCTCTTTTGATGCAGCAGTTTGGAAACACTCTTTTTGTAGAAACTGTAAGTGGATATTTGGATAGCTCTAATGATTTCGTTGGAAACGGGAATATCATCATCTAAAATCTAGACAGAAGCACTCTCAGAAACTACTTTTTGATATCTGCATTCAAGTCACAGAGTTGAACATTCGCTTTCTTAGAGCACTTTTGAAACACTCTTTTTGTAGTATCTGGAAGTGGACATTTGGAGCTCCTTGATGCCTTTGGTGAAAAAGGAAATGTCTTCCAATAAAAACTAGACAGAAAGCATTCTCAGAAACTTGTTTGTGATGTGTGTACCCAGCCAAAGGAGTTGAACATTTCTATTGATAGAGCAGTTTTGAAACACTCTTTTTGTGGAAAATGCAGGTGGATATTTGGATAGCTTGGAGGATTTCGTTGGAAGCGGGAATTCAAATAAAAGGTAGACAGCAGGATTCTCAGAAACAAGTTTGTGATGTGTGTACTCAGCTAACAGAGTGGAACCTTTCTTTTTACAGAGCAGCTTTGAAACTCTATTTTTGTGGATTTTGCAAATTGATATTTAGATTGCTTTAACGATATCGTTGGAAAAGGGAATATTGTCATACAAAATCTGGACAGAAGCATTCTCACAAACTTCTTTGTGATGTGTGTCCTCAACTAACAGAGTTGAACCTTTCTTTTGATGCAACAGTTTGGAAACACCCTTTTGGTAGAAACTGTAAGTGGATATTTGGATAGCTCTAACGATTTCGTTGGAAACGGGAATATCATCATCTAAAATCTAGACAGAAGCACTATTAGAAACTACTTGGTGATATCTGCATTCAAGTCACAGATTTGAACATTCCCTTACTTTGAGCACGTTTGAAACACTCTTTTGGAAGAATCTGGAAGTGGACATTTGGAGCGCTTTGATGCCTTTGGTGAAAAGGAAACGTCTTCCAATAAAAGCCAGACAGAAGCATTCTCAGAAACTTGTTCGTGATGTGTGTACTCAACTAAAAGTGTTGAACCTTTCTATTGATAGTGCAGTTTTGAAACACTCTTTTTGTGGATTCTGCAAGTGGATATTTGGATTGCTTTGAGGATTTCGTTGGAAGCGGGAATTCGTATAAAAACTAGACAGCAGCATTCCCAGAAATTTCTTTCGGATATTTCCATTCAACTCATAGAGATGAACATGGCCTTTCATAGAGCAGGTTTGAAACACTCTTTTTGTAGTTTGTGGAAGTGGACATTTCGATCGCCTTGACGCCTACGGTGAAAAAGGAAATATCTTCCCATAAAAAATAGACAGAAGCATTCTCAGAAACTTGTTGGTGATATGTGTCCTCAACTAACAGAGTTGAACTTTGCCATTGATAGAGAGCAGTTTTGAAACACTCTTTTTGTGGAATCTGCAAGTGGATATTTGGATAGCTTGGAGGATTTCGTTGGAAGCGGGAATTCAAATAAAAGGTAGACAGCAGCATTCTCAGAAATTTCTTTCTGATGTCTGCATTCAACTCATAGAGTTGAACATTCCCTTTCATAGGACAGGTTTGAAATACTCTTTCTGTAGTATCTGGATGTGGACATGTGGAGCGCTTTGATGCCTACAGTGAAAAAGTAAATATCTTCCCCCATAAAAACGAGACAGAAGGATTCTGAGAAACAAGTTTGTGATGTGTGTACTCAGCTAACAGAGTGGAACCTCTGTTTTGATGCAGCAGTTTGGAAACACTCTTTTTGTAGAAACTGTAAGTGGATATTTGGATAGCTCTAATGATTTCGTTGGAAACGGGAATATCATCATCTAAAATCTAGACAGAAGCCCTCTCAGAAACTACTTTGTGATATCTGCATTCAAGTCACAGAGTTGAACATTCGCTTTCTTAGAGCACGTTTGAAACACTCTTTTTGTAGTGTCTGGAAGTGGACATTTGGAGCGCTTTGATTCCTTTTGTGAAAAAGGGAATGTCTACCCATAAAAACTAGACAGAAGCATTCTCAGAAACTTGTTTGTGATGTGTGTACCCAGCTAAAGGAGTTGAACATGTCTATTGATAGAGCAGTTTTGAAACACTCTTTTTGTGGAAAATGCAAGTGGATATTTGCATAGCTTGGAGGATTTCGTTGGAAGCGGGAGTTCAAATAAAAGGTAGACAGCAGGATTCTGAGAAACAAGTTTGTGATGTGTGTACTCAGCTAACAGAGTGGAACCTTTCTTTTTACAGAGCAGCTTTGAAACTCTATTTTTGTGGATTCTGCAAATGGATATTTAGATTGCTTTAATGATATCGCTGGAAAAGGGAATAGGTCATACAAAATATAGACAGAAGCATTCTCACAAACTTCTTTGTGATGTGTGTCCTCAACTAACAGAGTTGAACCTTTCTTTTGATGCAGCAGTTTGGAAACACTCTTTTGGTAGAAACTGTAACTGGATATTTGGATAGATCTAACGATTTCGTTGGAAACGGGAATATCATCATCTAAAATCTAGACAGAAGCACTATTAGAAACTACTTGGTGATATCTGCATTCAAGTCACAGAGTTGAACATTCCCTTACTTTGAGCACGTTTGAAACACTCTTTTGGAAGAATCTGGAAGTGGACATTTGGAGCGCTTTGATGCCTTTGGTGAAAAGGAAACGTCTTCCAATAAAAGCCAGACAGAAGCATTCTCAGAAACTTGTTCGTGATGTGTGTACTCAACTAAAAGAGTTGAACCTTTCTATTGATAGAGCAGTTTTGAAACACTCTTTTTGTGGATTCTGCAAGTGGATACTTGGATTGCTTTGAGGATTTCGTTGGAAGCGGGAATTCGTATAAACACTAGACAGCAGCATTCCCAGTAAATTTCTTTCGGATATTTCCATTCAACTCATAGAGATGAACATCGCCTTTCATAGAGCAGGTTTGAAACACTCTTTTTGTAGTTTGTGGAAGTGGACATTTCGATCGCCTTGACGCCTACGGTGAAAAAGGAAATATCTTCCCATAAACAATAGACAGAAGCATTCTCAGAAACTTGTTGGTGATATGTGTCCTCAACTAACAGAGTTGAACCTTGCCATTGATAGAGAGCAGTTTTGAAACACTCTTTTTGTGGAATCTGCAAGTGGATATTTGGATAGCTTGGAGGATTTCGTTGCAAGCGGGAATTCAAATAAAAGGTAGACAGCAGCATTCTCAGAAATTTCTTTCTGATGTCTGCATTCAACTCATAGAGTTGAAGATTCCCTTTCATAGAGCAGGTTTGAAACACTCTTTCTGGAGTATCTGGATGTGGACATTTGGAGCGCTTTGATGCCTACGGTGAAAAAGTAAATATCTTCCCAGAAAAACGAGACAGAAGGATTCTCAGAAACAAGTTTGTGATGTGTGTACTCAGCTAACAGAGTGGAACCTCTCTTTTGATGCAGCAGTTTGGAAACACTCTTTTTGTAGAAACCGTAAGTGGATATTTGGATAGCTCTAATGATTTCGTTGGAAACGGGAATATCATCATCTAAAACCTAGACAGAAAGCCCTCTCAGAAACTACTTTGTGATATCTGCATTCAAGTCACAGAGTTGAACATTCGCTTTCTTAGAGCACGTTGGAAACACTCTTTTTGTAGTGTCTGGAAGTGGACATTTGGAGCGCTTTGATTCCTTTGGTGAAAAAGGGAATGTCTACCCATAAAAACTAGACAGAGCATTCTCAGAAACTTGTTTGTGATGTGTGTACCCAGCCAAAGGAGTTGAACATTTCTATTGATAGAGCAGGTTTGAAACACTCTTTTTGTGGAAAATGCAGGTGGATATTTGGATAGCTTGGAGGATTTCGTTGGAAGCGGGAATTCAAATAAAAGGTAGACAGCAGCATTCTAAGAAATTTCTTTCTGATGTCTGCATTCAACTCATAGAGTTGAAGATTCCCTTTCATAGAGCAGGTTTGAAACACTCTTTCTGGAGTATCTGGATGTGGACATTTGGAGCGCTTTGATGCCTACGGTGAAAAAGTAAATATCTTCCCATAAAAACGAGACAGAAGGATTCTCAGAAAGAAGTTTGTGATGTGTGTACTCAGCTAACAGAGTGGAACCTTTCTTTTTACAGAGCAGCTTTGAAACTCTATTTTTGTGGATTCTGCAAATTGATATTTAGATTGCTTTAACGATATCGTTGGAAAAGGGAATATCGTCATACAAAATCTAGACAGAAGCATTCTCACAAACTTCTTTGTGATGTGTCTCCTCAACTAACAGAGTTGAACCTTTCTTTTGATGCAGCAGTTTGGAAACACTCTTTTTGTAGAAACTGTAAGTGGATATTTGGATAGCTCTAACGATTTCGTTGGAAACGGGAATATCATCATCTAAAATCTAGACAGAAGCACTATTAGAAACTACTTGGTGATATCTGCATTCAAGTCACAGAGTTGAACATTCCCTTACTTTGAGCACGTTTGAAACACTCTTTTGGAAGAATCTGGAAGTGGACATTTGGAGCGCTTTGATGCCTTTGGTGAAAAGGAAACGTCTTCCAATAAAAGACAGACAGAAGCATTCTCAGAAACTTGTTCGTGATGTGTGTACTCAACTAAAAGAGTTGAACCTTTCTATTGATAGAGCAGTTTTGAAACACTCTTTTTGTGGATTCTGCAAGTGGATATTTGGATTGCTTTGAGGATTTCGTTGGAAGCGGGAATTCGTATAAACACTAGACAGCAGCATTCCCAGAAATTTCTTTCGGATATTTCCATTCAACTCATAGAGATGAACATGGCCTTTCATAGAGCAGGTTTGAAACACTCTTTTTGTAGTTTGTAGAAGTGGACATTTCGATCGCCTTGACGCCTACCGTGAAAAAGGAAATATCTTCCCATAAAAAATAGACAGAAGCATTCTCAGAAACTTGTTGGTGATATGTGTCCTCAACTAACAGAGTTGAACTTTGCCATTGATAGAGAGCAGTTTTGAAACACTCTTTTTGTGGAATCTGCAAGTGGATATTTGGATAGCTTGGAGGATTTCGTTGGAAGCGGGAATTCAAATAAAAGGTAGACAGCAGCATTCTCAGAAATTTCTTTCTGATGTCTGCATTCAACTCATAGAGTTGAAGATTCCCTTTCATAGAGCAGGTTTGAAACACTCTTTCTGGAGTATCTGGATGTGGACATTTGAAGCGCTTTGATGCCTACGGTGAAAAAGTAAATATCTTCCCATAAAAACGAGACAGAAGGATTCTGAGAAACAAGTTTGTGATGTGTGTACTCGGGCTAACAGAGTGGAACCTCTCTTTTGATGCAGCAGTTTGGAAACACTCTTTTTGTAGAAACTGTAAGTGGATATTTGGATAGCTCTAATGATTTCGTTGGAAACGGGAATATCATCATCTAAAATCTAGACAGAAGCATTCTCAGAAATTTCTTTCTGATGTTTGCATTCAACTCATAGAGTTGAACATTCCCTTTAATAGAGCAGGTTTGAAACACTCTTTCTGTACTATCCGGATGTGGACATTTGGAGCGCTTTGACGCCTACGGTGAAAAAGGAAATGTCTTCCCATAAAAAATTGAAGAATTCTCAGAAACTTGTTTGTGATGTGTGTCCTCAACTGACAGAGTTGTACCTTTCTATTGATAGAGTAGTTTTGAAACACTCTTTTTGTGGAATCTGCAAGTGAATATTTGGATAGCTTGGAGGATTTCGTCGGAAGCGGGAATTCAAATGAAAGGTAGACAGCAGCATTCTCAGAAATTACTTTCTGTTGTCTGCATTCAACTCATAGAGTTGAAGATTCCCTTTCATAGAGCAGGTTTGAAACACTCTTTCTGTAGTATCTGGATGTGGACATTTGGAGCGCTTTGATACCTACGGTGAAAAAGTAAATATCTTCCCATAAAAACTAGACAGAAGGATTCTCAGAAACAAGTTTGTGATGTGTGTACTCAGCTAACAGAGTGGATCCTTTCTTTTTACAGAGCAGCTTTGAAACTCTATTTCTGTGGATTCTGCAAATTGACATTTGGGTTGATTTAACGACATCGTTGGAAAAGGGAATATCTTCATACAAAATCTAGACAGAAGCTTTCTCAGAAACTTCTTTGTGATGTGTGTCCTCAACTAACAGACTTGAACCTTTCTTTTGATGCAGCAGTTTGGAAACACTCTTTTTGTAGAAACTGTAAGTGGATATTTGGATAGGTCTAACGATATCGTTGGAAACGGGAATATCTTCATCTAAAGTATACACAGAAGCACTATTAGAAACTACTTGGTGATATCTGCATTCAAGTCACAGAGTTGAACATTCCCTTACTTTGAGCACGTTTCAAACACTCTTTTGGAAGAATCTGGAAGTGGACATTTGGAGCGCTTTGATGCCTTTGGTGAAAAGGAAACGTCTTCCAATAAAAGCCAGACAGAAGCATTCTCAGAAACTTGTTCGTGATGTGTGTACTCAACTAAAAGGGTTGAACCTTTCTATTGATAGAGCAGTTTTGAAACACTCTTTTTGTGGATTCTGCAAGTGGATATTTGGATTGCTTTGAGGATTTCGTTGGAAGCGGGAATTCGTATAAAAACTAGACAGCAGCATTCCCAGAAATTTCTTTCGGATATTTCCATTCAACTCATAGAGATGAACATGGCCTTTCATAGAGCAGGTTTGAAACACTCTTTTTGTAGTTTGTGGAAGTGGACATTTCGATCGCCTTGACGCCTACGGTGAAAAAGGAAATATCTTCCCATAAAAAATAGACAGAAGAATTCTCAGAAACTTGTTTGTGATGTGTATCCTCAACTGACAGAGTTGAACCTTGCCATTGATAGAGCAGTTTAGAAACCCTCTTTTTGTGGAATCTGCAAGTGGATATTTGGATAGCCTGGAGGATTTCGTTGGAAGCGGGAATTCAAATGAAAGGTAGACAGCAGCATTCTCAGAAATTTCTTTGTGATGTTTGCATTCAACTCATAGAGTTGAACATTCCCTTTCATAGAGCAGGTTTGAAACACTCTTTCTGTACTATCTGGATGTGGACATTTGGAACGCTTTGATGCCTACGGTGAAAAATTAAATATCTTCCCATAAAAGCTAGACAGAAGGATTCTCAGAAACAAGTTTGTGATGTGTGTACTCAGCTAACAGAGTGGAACCTCACTTTTGATGCAGCAGTTTGGAAACACTCTTTTTGTAGAAACTGTAAGTGGATATTTGGATAGCTCTAATGATTTCGTTGGAAACGGGAATATCATCATCTAAAATCGAGACAGAAGCCCTCTCAGAAACTACTTTGTGATATCTGCATTCAAGTCACAGAGTTGAACATTCGCTTTCTTAGAGCACGTTTGAAACACTCTTTTTGTAGTGTCTGGAAGTGGACATTTGGAGCGCTTTGATTCCTTTGGTGAAAAAGGGAATGTCTACCCATAAAAACTAGACAGAAGCATTCTCAGAAACTTGTTTGTGATGTGTGTACCCAGCCAAAGGAGTTGAACATTTCTATTGATAGAGCAGTTTTGAAACGCTCTTTTTGTGGAAAATGCAGGTGGATATTTGGATAGCTTGGAGGATTTCGTTGGAAGCGGGAATTCAAATAAAATTTAGACAGCAAGATTCTCAGAAACAAGTTTGTGATGTGTGAACTCAGCTAACAGAGTGGATCCTTTCTTTTTACAGAGCAGCTTTGAAACTCTATTTCTGTGGATTCTGCAAATTGATATTTGGGTTGATTTAACGACATCGTTGGAAAAGGGAATATCTTCATACAAAATCTAGACAGAAGCATTCTCACAAACTTCTTTGTGATGTGTGTCCTCAACTAACAGAGTTGAACCTTTCTTTTGATGCAGCAGTTTGGAAACACTCTTTTTGTAGAAACTGTAAGTGGATATTTGGATAGCTCTAACGATTTCGTTGGAAACGGGAATATCTTCATCTAAAAAGCACTATTAGAAACTACTTGGTGATATCTGCATTCAAGTCACAGAGTTGAACATTCCCTTACTTTGAGCACGTTTCAAACACTCTTTTGGAAGAATCTGGAAGTGGACATTTGGAGCGCTTTGATGATGACTTTGGTGAAAAGGAAACGTCTTCCAATAATAGCCAGACAGAAGCATTCTCAGAAACTTGTTTGTGATGTGTGTACTCAACTAAAAGAGTTGAACCTTTCTATTGATAGAGCGGTTTTGAAACACTCTTTTTGTGGATTCTGCAAGTGGATATTTGGATTGCTTTGAGGATTTCGTTGGAAGCGGGAATTCGTATAAACACTAGACAGCAGCATTCCCAGAAATTTCTTTCGGATATTTCCATTCAACTCATAGAGATGAACATGGCCTTTCATAGAGCAGGTTTGAAACACTCTTTTTGTAGTTTGTGGAAGTGGACATTTCGATCGCCTTGACGCCTACGGTGAAAAAGGAAATATCTTCCCATAAAAAATAGACAGAAGCATTCTCAGAAACTTGTTGGTGATATGTGTCCTCAACTAACAGAGTTGAACTTTGCCATTGATAGAGAGCAGTTTTGAAACACTCTTTTTGTGGAATCTGCAAGTGGATATTTGGATAGCTTGGAGGATTTCGTTGGAAGCGGGAATTCAAATAAAAGGTAGACAGCCAGCATTCTCAGAAATTTCTTTCTGATGTCTGCATTCAACTCATAGGAGTTGAAGATTCCCTTTCATAGAGCAGGTTTGAAACACTCGTTCTGGAGTATCTGGATGTGGACATTTGGAGCGCTTTGATGCCTACGGTGGAAAAGTAAATATCTTCCCATAAAAACGAGACAGAGGATTCTGAGAAACAAGTTTGTGATGTGTGTACTCAGCTAACAGAGTGGAACCTCTCTTTTGATGCAGTAGTTTGGAAACACCCTTTTTGTAGAAACTGTAAGGGGATATTTGGATAGCTCTAATGATTTCGTTGGAAACGGGAATATCATCATCTAAAATCTAGAGAGAAGCACTCTCAGAAACTACTTTTTCATATCTGCATTCAAGTCACAGAGTTGAACATTCGCTTTCTTAGAGCACTTTTGAAACACTCTTTTTGTAGTATCTGGAAGTGGACATTTGGAGCTCTTTGATGCCTTTGGTGAAAAAAGAAATGTCTTCCCATAAAAACTAGACAGAAGCATTCTCAGAAACTTGTTTGTGATGTGTGTACCCAGCCAAAGGAGTTGAACATTTCTATTGATAGAGCAGTTTTGAAACGCTCTTTTTGTGGAAAATGCAGGTGGATATTTGGATAGCTTGGAGGATTTCGTTGGAAGCAGGAATTCAAATAAAAGGTAGACAGCAGGATTCTGAGAAACAAGGTTTGTGATGTGTGTACTCAGCTAACAGAGTGGAACCTTTCTTTTTACAGAGCAGCTTTGAAACTCTATTTTTGTGGATTCTGCAAATGGATATTTAGATTGCTTTAACGATATCGTTGGAAAAGGGAATATCGTCATACAAAATCTAGACAGAAGCTTTCTCAGAAACTTCTTTGTGTTGTGTGTCCTCAACTCACAGAGTTGAACCTTTCTTTTGATGCAGCAGTTTGGAAACACACTTTTTGTAGAAACTGTAAGTGGATATTTGGATAGGTCTAACGATATCGTTGGAAACGGGAATATCTTCATCTAAAGTATACACAGAAAGCACTATTAGAAACTACTTGGTGATATCTGCATTCAAGTCACAGAGTTGAACATTCCCTTACTTCGACCACGTTTGAAACACTCTTTTGGAAGAATCTGGAAGTGGACATTTGGAGCGCTTTGATGCCTTTGGTGAAAAGGAAACGTCTTCCAATAAAAGCCAGACAGAGCATTCTCAGAAACTTGTTTGTGATGTGTGTACTCAACTAAAAGAGTTGAACCTTTCTATTGATAGCGCAGTTTTGAAACACTCTTTTTGTGGATTCTGCAAGTGGATATTTGGATTGCTTTGAGGATTTCGTTGGAAGCGGGAATTCGTATAAAAACTAGACAGCAGCATTCCCAGAAATTTCTTTCGGATATTTCCATTCAACTCATAGAGATGAACATCGCCTTTTATAGAGCAGGTTTGAAACACTCTTTTTGTAGTTTGTGGAAGTGGACATTTCGATCGCCTTGACGCCTACGGTGAAAAAGGAAATATCTTCCCATAAAAAATAGACAGAAGCATTCTCAGAAACTTGTTGGTGATATGTGTCCTCAACTAACAGAGTTGAAATTTGCCATTGATAGAGAGCAGTTTTGAAACACTCTTTTTGTGGAATCTGCAAGTGGATATTTGGATAGCTTGGAGGATTTCGTTGGAAGCGGGAATTCAAATAAAAGGTAGACAGCAGCATTCTCAGAAATTTCTTTCTGATGTCTGCATTCAACTCATAGAGTTGAAGATTCCCTTTCATAGAGCAGGTTTGAAACACTCTTTCTGGAGTATCTGGATGTGGACATTTGGAGCGCTTTGATGCCTACGGTGGAAAAGTAAATATCTTCCCATAAAAACGAGACAGAAGGATTCTGAGAAACAAGTTTGTGATGTGTGTACTCAGCTAACAGAGTGGAACCTCTCTTTTGATGCAGCAGTTTGGAAACACTCTTTTTGTAGAAACTGTAAGTGGATATTTGGATAGCTCTAATGATTTCGTTGGAAACGGGAATATCATCATCTAAAATCTAGACAGAAGCCCTCTCAGAAACTACTTTGTGATATCTGCATTCAAGCCACAGAGTTGAACATTCGCTTTCTTAGAGCACGTTTGAAACACTCTTTTTGTAGTGTCTGGAAGTGGACATTTGGAGCGCTTTGATGCCTTTGGTGAAAAAGGGAATGTCTTCCCATAAAAACTAGACAGAAGCATTCTCAGAAACTTGTTTGTGATGTGTGTACCCAGCCAAAGGAGTTGAACATTTCTATTGATAGAGCAGTTTTGAAACACTCTCTTTGTGGAAAATGCAGGTGGATATTTGGATAGCTTGGAGGATTTCGTTGGAAGCGGGAATTCAAATAAAAGGTAGACAGCAGCATTCTCAGAAATTTCTTTCTGATGTCTGCATTCAACTCATAGAGTTGAAGATTCCCTTTCATAGAGCAGGTTTGAAACACTCGTTCTGGAGTATCTGGATGTGGACATTTGGAGCGCTTTGATGCCTACGGTGGAAAAGTAAATATCTTCCCATAAAAACGAGACAGAAGGATTCTCAGAAACAAGTTTGTGATGTGTGTTCTCAGCTAACAGAGTGGAACCTTTCTTTTTACAGAGCAGCTTTGAAACGCTATTTTTGTGGATTCTGCAAATTGATATTTAGATTGCTTTAACGATATCGTTGGAAAAGGGAATATCGTCATACAAAATCTAGACAGAAGCATTCTCACAAACTTCTTTGTGATGTGTGTCCTCATCTAACAGAGTTGAACCTTTCTTTTGATGCAGCAGTTTGGAAACACTCTTTTTGTAGAAACTGTAACTGGATATTTGGATAGCTCTAACGATTTCGTTGGAAACGGGAATATCATCATCTAAAATCTAGACAGAAGCACTATTAGAAACTACTTGGTGATATCTGCATTCAAGTCTCAGAGTTGAACATTCCCTTACTTGAGCACGTTTGAAACACTCTTTTGGAAGAATCTGGAAGTGGACATTTGGAGCGCTTTGATGCCTTTGGTGAAAAGGAAACGTCTTCCAATAAAAGCCAGACAGAAGCATTCTCAGAAACTTGTTCGTGATGTGTGTACTCAACTAAAAGAGTTGAACCTTTCTATTGATAGAGCAGTTTTGAAACACTCTTTTTGTGGATTCTGCAAGTGGATATTTGGATTGCTTTGAAGATTTCGTTGGAAGCGGGAATTCGTATAAACACTAGACAGCAGCATTCCCAGAAATTTCTTTCGGATATTTCCATTCAACTCATAGAGATGAACATGGCCTTTCATAGAGCAGGTTTGAAACACTCTTTTTGTAGTTTGTGGAAGTGGACATTTCGATCGCCTTGACGCCTACGGTGAAAAAGGAAATATCTTCCCATAAAAAATAGACAGAAGCATTCTCAGAAACTTGTTGGCGATATGTGTCCTCAACTAACAGAGTTTAACTTTGCCATTGATAGAGAGCAGTTTTGAAACACTCTTTTTGTGGAATCTGCAAGTGGATATTTGGATAGCTTGGAGGATTTCGTTGGAAGCGGGAATTCAAATAAAAGGTAGACAGCAGCATTCTCAGAAATTTCTTTCTGATGTCTGCATTCAACTCATAGAGTTGAACATTCCCTTTCATAGAGCAGGTTTGAAATACTCTTTCTGTAGTATCTGGATGTGGACATTTGGAGCGCTTTGATGCCTACGATGAAAAAGTAAATATCTTCCCATAAAAACGAGACAGAAGGATTCTCAGAAACAAGTTGGTGATGTGTGTACTCAGCTAACAGAGTGGAACCTCTCTTTTGATGCAGCAGTTTGGAAACACTCTTTTTGTAGAAACTGTAAGTGGATATTTGGATAGCTCTAATGATTTCGTTGGAAACGGGAATATCATCATCTAAAATCTAGACAGAAGCACTCTCAGAAACTACTTTGTGATATCTGCATTCAAGTCACAGAGTTGAACATTCGGTTTCTTAGAGCACGTTTGAAACACTCTTTTTGTAGTGTCTGGAAGTGGACATTTGGAGCGCTTTGATTCCTTTGGTGAAAAAGGGAATGTCTACCCATAAAAACTAGACAGAAGCATTCTCAGAAACTTGTTTGTGATGTGTGTACCCAGCCAAAGGAGTTGAACATTTCTATTGATAGAGCAGTTTTGAAACGCTCTTTTTGTGGAAAATGCAGGTGGATATTTGGATAGCTTGGAGGATTTCGTTGGACGCGGGAATTCAAATAAAAGGTAGACAGCAGCATTCTCAGAAATTTCTTTCTGATGTCTGCATTCAACTCATAGAGTTGAAGATTCCCTTTAATGGAGCAGGTTTGAAACACTCGTTCTGCAGTATCTGGATGTGGACATTTGGAGCGCTTTGATGCCTACGGTGGAAAAGTAAATATCTTCCCATAAAAACGAGACAGAAGGATTCTCAGAAACAAGTTTGTGATGTGTGTACTCAGCTAACAGAGTGGAACCTTTCTTTTTACAGAGCAGCTTTGAAACTCTATTTTTGTGGATTCTGCAAATGGATATTTAGATTGCTTTAACGATATCGTTGGAAAAGGGAATATCGTCATACAAAATCTGGACAGAAGCATTCTCACAAACTTCTTTGTGATGTGTGTCCTCAACTAACAGAGTTGAACCTTTCTTTTGATGCAGCAGTTTGGAAACACTCTTTTGGTAGAAACTGTAAGTGGATATTTGGATAGCTCTAACGATTTCGTTGGAAACGGGAATATCATCATCTAAAATCTAGACAGAAGCACTATTAGAAACTACTTGGTGATATCTGCATTCAAGTCACAGAGTTGAACATTCCCTTACTTTGAGCACGTTTGAAACACTCTTTTGGAAGAATCTGGAAGTGGACATTTGGAGCGCTTTGATGCCTTTGGTGAAAAGGAAACGTCTTCCAATAAAAGCCAGACAGAAGCATTCTCAGAAACTTGTTTGTGATGTGTGTACTCAACTAAAAGAGTTGAACCTTTCTATTGATAGAGCAGTTTTGAAACACTCTTTTTGTGGATTCTGCAAGTGGATATTTGGATTGCTTTGAGGATTTCGTTGGAAGCGGCAATTCGTATAAAAACTAGACAGCAGCATTCCCAGAAATTTCTTTCGGATATTTCCATTCAACTCATAGAGATGAACATGGCCTTTCATAGAGCAGGTTTGAAACACTCTTTTTGTAGTTTGTGGAAGTGGACATTTCGATCGCCTTGACGCCTACGGTGAAAAAGGAAATATCTTCCCATAAAAAATAGACAGAAGCATTCTAAGAAACTTGTTGGTGATATGTGTCCTCAACTAACAGAGTTGAACTTTGCCATTGATAGAGAGCAGTTTTGAAACACTCTTTTTGTGGAATCTGCAAGTGGATATCTGGATAGCTTGGAGGATTTCGTTGGAAGCGGGAATTCAAATAAAAGGTAGACAGCAGCATTCTCAGAAATTTCTTTCTGATCTCTGCATTCAACTCATAGAGTTGAACATTCCCTTTCATAGGGCAGGTTTGAAATACTCTTTCTGTAGTATCTGGATGAGGACATTTGGAGCGCTTTGATGCCTACAGTGAAAAAGTAAATATCTTCCCATAAAAACGAGACAGAAGGATTCTGAGAAACAAGTTTGTGATGTGTGTACTCAGCTAACAGAGTGGAACCTCTCTTTTGATGCAGCAGTTTGGAAACACTCTTTTTGTAGAAACTGTAAGTGGATATTTGGATAGCTCTAATGATTTCGTTGAAAACGGGAATATCATCATCTAAAATCTAGACAGAAGCCCTCTCAGAAACTACTTTGTGATATCTGCATTCAAGTCACAGAGTTGAACATTCGGTTTCTTAGAGCACGTTTGAAACACTCTTTTTGTAGTGTCTGGAAGTGGACATTTGGAGCGCTTTGATGCCTTTGGTGAAAAAGGGAATGTCTACCCATAAAAACTAGACAGAAGCATTCTCAGAAACTTGTTTGTGATGTGTGTACCCAGCCAAAGGAGTTGAACATTTAAATTGATAGAGCAGTTGTGAAACACTCTTGTTGTGGAAAATGCAGGTGGATATTTGGATACTTGGAGGATTTCGTTGGAAGCGGGAATTCAAATAAAAGGTAGACAGCAGCATTCTCAGAAATTTCTTTCTGATGTCTGCATTCAACTCATAGAGTTGAAGATTCCCTTTCATAGAGCAGGTTTGAAACACTCGTTCTGGAGTATCTGGATGTGGACATTTGGAGCGCTTTGATGCCTACGTTGGAAAAGTAAATATCTTCCCATAAAAACGAGACAGAAGGATTCTCAGAAACAAGTTTGTGATGTGTGTACTCAGCTAACAGAGTGGAACCTTTCTTTTTACAGAGCAGCTTTGAAACTCTATTTTTGTGGATTCTGCAAATTTATATTTAGATTGCTTTAACGATATCGTTGGAAAAGGGAATATCGTCATACAAAATCTAGACAGAAGCATTCTCACAAACTTCTTTGTGACGTGTGTCCTCAACTAACAGAGTTGAACCTTTCTTTTGATGCAGCAGTTTGGAAACACTGTTTTTGTAGCAACTGTAAGTGGATATTTGGATAGCTCTAACGATTTCGTTGGAAACGGGAATATCATCATCTAAAATCTAGACAGAAGCACTATTAGAAACTACTTGGTGATATCTGCATTCAAGTCACAGAGTTGAACATTCCCTTACTTCGACCACGTTTGAAACACTCTTTTGGAAGAATCTGGAAGTGGACATTTGGAGCGCTTTGATGCCTTTGGTGAAAAGGAAACGTCTTCCAGTAAAAGCCAGACAGAAGCATTCTCAGAAACTTGTTCGTGATGTGTGTACTCAACTAAAAGAGTTGAACCTTTCTATTGATAGAGCAGTTTTGAAACACTCTTTTTGTGGATTCTGCAAGTGGATATTTGGATTGCTTTGAGGATTTCGTTGGAAGCGGGAATTCGTATAAACACTAGACAGCAGCATTCCCAGAAATTTCTTTCGGATATTTCCATTCAACTCATAGAGATGAACATGGCCTTTCATAGAGCAGGTTTGAAACACTCTTTTTGTAGTTTGTGGAAGTGGACATTTCGAACGCCTTGACGCCTACGGTGAAAAAGGAAATATCTTCCCATAAAAAATAGACAGAAGCATTCTCAGAAACTTGTTGGTGATATGTGTCCTCAACTAACAGAGTTGAACTTTGCCATTGATAGAGAGCAGTTTTGAAACACTCTTTTTGTGGAATCTGCAAGTGGATATTTGGATAGCTTGGAGGATTTCGTTGGAAGCGGGAATTCAAATAAAAGGTAGACAGCAGCATTCTCAGAAATTTCTTTCTGATGTCTGCATTCAACTCATAGAGTTGAAGATTCCCTTTCATAGAGCAGGTTTGAAACACTCTTTCTGGAGTATCTGGATGTGGACATTTGGAGCGCTTTGATGCCTACGGTGAAAAAGTAAATATCTTCCCATAAAATCGACACAGAAGGATTCTCAGAAACAAGTTTGTGATGTGTGTACTCAGCTAACAGAGTGGAACCTCTCTTTTGATGCAGCAGTTTGGAAACACTCTTTTTGTAGAAACTGTAAGTGGATATTTGGATAGCTCTGATGATTTCGTTGGAAACGGGAATATCATCATGTAAAAACTAGACAGAAGCACTCTCAGAAACTACTTTGTGATATCTGCATTCAAGTCACAGAGTTGAACATTCGCTTTCTTAGAGCACTTTTGAAACACTCTTTTTGTAGTATCTGGAAGTGGACATTTGGAGCTCTTTGATGCCTTTGGTGAAAAAGGAAATGTCTTCCCATAAAAACTAGACAGAAGCATTCTCAGAAACTTGTTTGTGATGTGTGTACCCAGCCAAAGGAGTTGAACATTTCTATTGATAGAGCACGTTTGAAACACTCTTTTTGTGGAAAATGCAGGTGGATATTTGGATAGCTTGGAGGATTTCGTTGGAAGCGGGAATTCAAATAAAAGGTAGACAGCAGGATTCTCAGAAACAAGTTTGTGATGTGTGTACTCAGCTAACAGAGTGGAACCTTTCTTTTTACAGAGCAGCTTTGAAACTCTATTTCTGTGGATTCTGCAAATTGATATTTAGATTGCTTTAACGATATCGTTGGAAAAGGGAATATCGTCATACAAAATCTAGACAGAAGCATTCTCACAAACTTCTTTGTGATGTGTGTCCTCAACTAACAGAGTTGAACCTTTCTTTTGATGCAGCAATTTGGAAACACCCTTTTGGTAGAAACTGTAACTGGATATTTGGATAGCTCTAACGATTTCGTTGGAAACGGGAATATCATCATCTAAAATGCTAGACAGAAGCACTATTAGAAACTACTTGGTGATATCTGCATTCAAGTCAAAGAGTTGAACATTCCCTTACTTTGAGCACGTTTGAAACACTCTTTTGGAAGAATCTGGAAGTGGACATTTGTAGCGCTTTGATGATGCCTTTGGTGAAAAGAAAACGTCTTCCAATAAAAGCCAGACAGAAGCATTCTCAGAAACTTGTTCGTGATGTGTGTACTCAACTAAAAGAGTTGAACCTTTCTATTGATAGAGCAGTTTTGAAACACTCTTTTTGTGGATTCTGCAAGTGGATATTTGGATTGCTTTGAGGATTTCGTTGGAAGCGGGAATTCGTATAAACACTAGACAGCAGCATTCCCAGAAATTTCTTTCGGATATTTCCATTCAACTCATAGAGATGAACTTGGCCTTTCATAGAGCAGGTTTGAAACACTCTTTTTGTAGTTTGTGGAAGTGGACATTTCGATCGCGTTGACGCCTACGGTGAAAAAGGAAATATCTTCCCATAAAAAATAGACAGAAGCATTCTCAGAAACTTGTTGGTGATATGTGTCCTCAACTAACAGAGTTGAACTTTGCCATTGATAGAGAGCAGTTTTGAAACACTCTTTTTGTGGAATCTGCAAGTGGATATTTGGATAGCTTGGAGGATTTCGTTGGAAGCGGGAATTCAAATAAAGGGTAGACAGCAGCATTCTCAGAAATTTATTTCTGATGTCTGCATTCAACTCATAGAGTTGAACATTCCCTTTCATAGAGCAGGTTTGAAATACTCTTTCTGTAGTATCTGGATGTGGACATTTGGAGCGCTTTGAGGCCTACGATGAAAAAGTAAATATCTTCCCATAAAAACGAGACAGAAGGATTCTGAGAAACAAGTTTGTGATGTGTGTACTCAGCTAACAGAGTGGAAACTCTCTTTTGATGCAGCAGTTTGGAAACACTCTTTTTGTAGAAACTGTAAGTGGATATTTGGATAGCTCTAATGATTTCGTTGGAAACGGGAATATCATCATCTAAAATCTAGACAGAAGCACTCTCAGAAACTACTGTGTGATATCTGCATTCAAGTCACAGAGTTGAACATTCGCTTTCTTAGAGCACGTTTGAAACACTCTTTTTGTAGTGTCTGGAAGTGGACATTTGGAGCGCTTTGATTCCTTTGGTGAAAAAGGGAATGTCTACCCATAAAAACTAGACAGAAGCATTCTCAGAAACTTGTTTGTGATGTGTGCACCCAGCTAAAGGAGTTGAACATTTCTATTGATAGAGCAGTTTTGAAGCACTCTTTTTGTGGAAAATGCAAGTGGATATTTGGATAGCTTGGAGGATTTCGTTGGAAGCGGGAGTTCAAATAAAAGGTAGACAGCAGCATTCTCAGAAATTTCTTTCTGATGTCTGCATTCAACTCATAGAGTTGAAGATTCCCTTTCATAGAGCAGGTTTGAAACACTCTTTCTGGAGTATCTGGATGTGGACATTTGGAGCGCTTTGATGTCTACGGTGAAAAAGTAAATATCTTCCCATAAAAACGAGACAGAAGGATTCTCAGAAACAAGTTTGTGATGTGTGTACTCAGCTAACAGAGTGGAAACTTTCTTTTTACAGAGCAGCTTTGAAACTCTATTTTTGTGGATTCTGCAAATTGATATTTGGTTTGCATTAACGATATCGTTGGAAAAGGGAATATCGTCATACAAAATCTAAACAGAAGCATTCTCACAAACTTCTTTGTGATGTGTGTCCTCAACTAACAGAGTTGAACCTTTCTTTTGATGCAGCAATTTGGAAACACCCTTTTGGTAGAAACTGTAACTGGATATTTGGATAGCTCTAGCGATTTCGTTGGAAACGGGAATATCATCATCTAAAATGTAGACAGAAGCACTATTAGAAACTACTTGGTGATATCTGCATTCAAGTCACAGAGTTGAACATTCCCTTACTTTGAGCACGCTTGAAACACTCTTTTGGAAGAATCTGGAAGTGGACATTTGGAGCGCTTTGATGCCTTTGGTGAAAAGGAAACGTCTTCCAATAAAAGCCAGACAGAAGCATTCTCAGAAACTTGTTTGTGATGTGTGTACTCAACTAAAAGAGTTGAACCTTTCTATTGATAGAGCAGTTTTGAAACACTCTTTTTGTGGATTCTGCAAGTGGATATTTGGATTGCTTTGAGGATTTCGTTGGAAGCGGGAATTCGTATAAAAACTAGACAGCAGCATTCCCAGAAATTTCTTTCGGATATTTCCATTCGACTCATAGAGATGAACATGGCCTTTCATAGAGCAGGTTTGAAACACTCTTTTTGTAGTTTGTGGAAGTGGACATTTCGATCGCCTTGACGCCTACGGTGAAAAAGGAAATAGCTTCCCATAAAAAATAGACAGAAGCATTCTCAGAAACTTGTTGGTGATATGTGTCCTCAACTAACAGAGTTGAACTTTGCCATTGATAGAGAGCAGTTTTGAAACACTCTTTTTGTGGAATCTGCAAGTGGATATTTGGATAGCTTGGAGGATTTCGTTGGAAGCGGGAATTCAAATAAAAGGTAGACAGCAGCATTCTCAGAAATTTCTTTCTGATGTCTGCATTCAACTCATAGAGTTGAAGATTCCCTTTCATAGAGCACGTTTGAAACACTCTTTCTGTAGTATCTGGATGTGGACATTTGGAGCGCTTTGATGCCTACGGTGAAAAAGTAAATATCTTCCCATAAAAACGAGACAGAAGGATTCTGAGAAACAAGTTTGTGATGTGTGTACTCAGCTAACAGAGTGGAACCTCTCTTTTGATGCAGCAGTTTGGAAACACTCTTTTTGTAGAAACTGTAAGTGGATATTTGGATAGCTCTAATGATTTCGTTGGAAACGGGAATATCATCATCTAAAATCTAGACAGAAGCCCTCTCAGAAACTACTTTGTGATATCTGCATTCAAGTCACAGAGTTGAACATTCGCTTTCTTAGAGCACGTTGGAAACACTCGTTTTGTAGTGTCTGGAAGTGGACATTTGGAGCGCTTTGATGCCTTTGGTGAAAAAGGGAACGTCTTCCCATAAAAACTAGACAGAAGCATTCTCAGAAACTTGTTTGTGATGTGTGTACCCAGCCAAAGGAGTTGAACATTTCTATTGATAGAGCAGTTTTGAAACACTCTTTTTGTGGAAAATGCAAGTGGATATTTGGATAGCTTGGAGGATTTCGTTGGAAGCGGGAATTCAAATAAAAGGTAGACAGCAGCATTCTCAGAAATTTCTTTCTGATGTCTGCATTCAACTCATAGAGTTGAAGATTCCCTTTCATAGAGCAGGTTTGAAACACTCTTTCTGGAGTATCTGGATGTGGACATTTGGAGCGCTTTGATGCCTACGGTGAAAAAGTAAATATCTTCCCATAAAAACGAGACAGAAGGATTCTCAGAAACAAGTTTGTGATGTGTGTACTCAGCTAACAGAGTGGAACCTTTCTTTTTACAGAGCAGCTTTGAAACTCTATTTTTGTGGATTCTGCAAATGGATATTTAGATTGCTTTAACGATATCGTTGGAAAAGGGAATATCGTCATACAAAATCTGGACATAAGCATTCTCACAAACTTCTTTGTGACGTGTGTCCTCAACTAACAGAGTTGAACCTTTCTTTTGATGCAGCAATTTGGAAACACCCTTTTGGTAGAAACTGTAACTGGATATTTGGATAGCTCTAGCGATTTCGTTGGAAACGGGAATATCATCATCTATAATCTAGACAGAAGCACTATTAGAAACTACTTGGTGATATCTGCATTCAAGTCACAGAGTTGAACATTCCCTTACTTCGAGCACGTTTGAAACACTCTTTTGGAAGAATCTGGAAGTGGACATTTGGAGCGCTTTGATGCCTTTGGTGAAAAGGAAACGTCTTCCAATAAAAGCCAGACAGAAGCATTCTCAGAAACTTGTTTGTGATGCGTGTACTCAACTAAAAGAGTTGAACCTTTCTATTGATAGAGCAGTTTTGAAACACTCTTTTTGTGGATTCTGCAAGTGGATATTTGGATTGCTTTGAGGATTTCGTTGGAAGCGGGAATTCGTATAAAAACTAGACAGCAGCATTCCCAGAAATTTCTTTCGGATATTTCCATTCAACTCATAGAGATGAACATGGCCTTTCATAGAGCAGGTTTGAAACACTCTTTTTGTAGTTTGTGGAAGTGGACATTTCGATCGCCTTGACGCCTACGGTGAAAAAGGAAATATCTTCCCATAAAAAATAGAAGCATTCTCAGAAACTTGTTGGTGATATGTGTCCTCAACTAACAGAGTTGAACTTTGCCATTGATAGAGAGCAGTTTTGAAACACTCTTTTTGTGGAATCTGCAAGTGGATATTTGGATAGCTTGGAGGATTTCGTTGGAAGCGGGAATTCAAATAAAAGGTAGACAGCAGCATTCTCAGAAATTTCTTTCTGATGTCTGCATTCAACTCATAGAGTTGAACATTCTCTTTCATAGAGCAGGTTTGAAACACTCTTTCTGGAGTATCTGGATGTGGACATTTGGAGCGCTTTGATGCCTACGGTGAAAAAGTAAATATCTTCCCATAAAAACGAGACAGAAGGATTCTGAGAAACAAGTTTGTGATGTGTGTACTCAGCTAACAGAGTGGAACCTCTCTTTTGATGCAGCAGTTTGGAAACACTCTTTTTGTAGAAACTGTAAGTGGATATTTGGATAGCTCTAATGATTTCGTTGGAAACGGGAATATCATCATCTAAAATCTAGACAGAAGCACTCTCAGAAACTACTTTGTGATATCTGCATTCAAGTCACAGAGTTGAACATTCGCTTTCTTAGAGCACGTTTGAAACACTCTTTTTGTAGTGTCTGGAAGTGGACATTTGGAGCGCTTTGAATTGCCTTTGGTGAAAAAGGGAATGTCTTCCCATAAAAACTAGACAGAAGCATTCTCAGAAACTTGTTTGTGATGTGTGTACCCAGCCAAAGGAGTTGAACATTTCTATTGATAGAGCAGGTTTGAAACACTCTTTTTGTGGAAAATGCAGGTGGATATTTGGATAGCTTGGAGGATTTCGTTGGAAGCGGGAATTCAAATAAAAGGTAGACAGCAAGCATTCTCAGAAATTTCTTTCTGATGTCTGCATTCAACTCATAGAGTTGAAGATTCCCTTTCATAGAGCAGGTTTGAAACACTCGTTCTGGAGTATCTGGATGTGGACATTTGGAGCGCTTTGATGCCTACGGTGGAAAAGTAAATATCTTCCCATAAAAACGAGACAGAAGGATTCTCAGAAACAAGTTTGTGATGTGTGTACTCAGCTAACAGAGTGGAACCTTTCTTTTTACAGAGCAGCTTTGAAACTCTATTTTTGTGGATTCTGCAAATTGATATTTAGATTGCTTTAACGATATCGTTGGAAAAGAGAATATCGTCATACAAAATCTAGACAGAAGCATTCTCACAAACTTCTTTGTGATGTGTGTCCTCAACTAACAGAGTTGAACCTTTCTTTTGATGCAGCAATTTGGAAACACCCTTTTGGTAGAAACTGTAACTGGATATTTGGATAGCTCTAACGATTTCTTTGGAAACGGGAATATCATCATCTAAAATCTAGACAGAAGCACTATTAGAAACTACTTGGTGATATCTGCATTCAAGTCACAGAGTTGAACATTCCCTTACTTCGACCACGTTTGAAACACTCTTTTGGAAGAATCTGGAAGTGGACATTTGGAGCACTTTGATGCCTTTGGTGAAAAGGAAACGTCTTCCAATAAAAGCCAGACAGAAAGCATTCTCAGAAACTTGTTCGTGATGTGTGTACTCAACTAAAAGAGTTGAACCTTTCTATTGATAGAGCAGTTTTGAAACACTCTTTTTGTGGATTCTGCAAGTGGATATTTGGATTGCTTTGAGGATTTCGTTGGAAGCGGGAATTCGTATAAACACTAGACAGAGCATTCCCAGAAATTTCTTTCGGATATTTCCATTCAACTCATAGAGATGAACATGGCCTTTCATAGAGCAGGTTTGAAACACACTTTTTGTAGTTTGTGGAAGTGGACATTTCGATCGCCTTGACGCCTACGGTGAAAAAGGAAATATCTTCCCATAAAAAATAGACAGAAGCATTCTCAGAAACTTGTTTGTGATGTGTGTACTCAACTAAAAGAGTTGAACCTTTCTATTGATAGAGCAGTTTTGAAACGCTCTTTTTGTGGAATCTGCAAGTGGATATTTGGATAGCTTGGAGGATTTCGTTGGAAGCGGGAATTCAAATAAAAGGTAGACAGCAGCATTCTCAGAAATTACTTTCTGATGTCTGCATTCAACTCATAGAGTTGAAGATTCCCTTTCATAGAGCAGGTTTGAAACACTCTTTCTGTAGTATCTGGATGTGGACATTTGGAGCGCTTTGATACCTACGGTGAAAAAGTAAGTATCTTCCCATAAAAACTAGACAGAAGGATTCTGAGAAACAAGTTTGTGATGTGTGTACTCAGCTAACAGAGTGGAACCTCTCTTTTGATGCAGCAGTTTGGAAACACTCTTTTTGTAGAAACTGTAAGTGGATATTTGGATAGCTCTAATGATTTCGTTGGAAACGGGAATATCATCATCTAAAATCTAGACAGAAGCACTCTCAGAAACTACTCTGTGATATCTGCATTCAAGTCACAGAGTTGAACATTCGCTTTCATAGAGCACGTTTGAAACACTCTTTTTGTAGTGTCTGGAAGTGGACATTTGGAGCGCTTTGATGGCTTTGGTGAAAAAGGGAATGTCTTCCCATAAAAACTAGGCAGAAGCATTCTCAGAAACTTGTTTGTGATGTGTGTACCCAGCCAAAGGAGTTGAACATTTCTATTGATAGAGCAGTTTTGAAACACTCTTGTTGTGGAAAATGCAAGTGGATATTTGGATAGCTTGGAGGATTTCGTTGGAAGCGGGAATTCAAATAAAAGGTAGACAGCAGGATTCTCAGAAACAAGTTTGTGATGTGTGTACTCAGCTAACAGAGTGGATCCTACCTTTTTACAGAGCAGCTTTGAAACTCTATTTCTGTGGATTCTGCAAATTGATATTTGGGTTGATTTAATGATATCGATGGAAAAGGGAATATCTTCATACAAAATCTAGACAGAAGCATTCTCACAAACTTCTTTGTGATGTGTGTCCTCAACTAACAGAGTTGAACCTTTCTTTTGATGCAGCAGTTTGAAAACACTCTTTTTGTAGAAACTGTAACTGGATATTTGGATAGCTCTAACGATTTCGTTGGAAACGGGAATATCATCATCTAAAATCTAGACAGAAGCACTATTAGAAACTACTTGGTGATATCTGCATTCAAGTCACAGAGTTGAACATTCCCTTACTTTGAGCACGTTTGAAACACTCTTTTGGAAGAATCTGGAAGTGGACATTTGGAGCGCTTTGATGCCTTTGGTGAAAAGGAAACGTCTTCCAATAAAAGCCAGACAGAAGCATTCTCAGAAACTTGTTGGTGATGTGTGTACTCAACTAAAAGAGTTGAACCTTTCTATTGATAGAGCAGTTTTGAAACACTCTTTTTGTGGATTCTGCAAGTGGATATTTGGATTGCTTTGAGGATTTCATTGGAAGCGGGAATTCATATAAAAACTAGACAGCAGCATTCCCAGAAATTTCTTTCGGATATTTCCATTCAACTCATAGAGATGAACATGGCCTTTCATAGAGCAGGTTTGAAACACTCTTTTTGTAGTTTGTGGAAGTGGACATTTCGATCGCCTTGACGCCTACGCTGAAAAAGGAAATATCTTCCCATAAAAAATAGACAGAAGCATTCTCAGAAACTTGTTGGTGATATGTGTCCTCAACTAACAGAGTTGAACTTTGCCATTGATAGAGAGCAGTTTTGAAACACTCTTTTTGTGGAATCTGCAAGTGGATATTTGGATAGCTTGGAGGATTTCGTTGGAAGCGGGAATTCAAATAAAAGTAGACAGCAGCATTCTCAGAAATTTCTTTCTGATGTCTGCATTCAACTCATAGAGTTGAAGATCCCCTTTCATAGAGCAGGTTTGAAACACTCTTTCTGGAGTATCTGGATGTGGACATTTGGAGCGCTTTGATGCCTACGGTGAAAAAGTAAATATCTTCCCATAAAAACGAGACAGAAGGATTCTGAGAAACAAGTTTGTGATGTGTGTACTCAGCTAACAGAGTGGAACCTCTCTTTTGATGCAGCAGTTTGGAAACACTCTTTTTGTAGAAACTGTAAGTGGATATTTGGATAGCTCTAATGATTTCGTTGGAAACGGGAATATCATCATCTAAAATCTAGACAGAAGCACTCTCAGAAACTACTTTGTGATATCTGCATTCAAGTCACAGAGTTGAACATTCGCTTTCTTAGAGCACGTTTGAAACACTCTTTTTGTAGTGTCTGGAAGTGGACATTTGGAGCGCTTTGATGTCTTTGGTGAAAAAGGGAATGTCTTCCCATAAAAACTAGACAGAAAGCATTCTCAGAAACTTGTTTGTGATGTGTGTACCCAGCCAAAGGAGTTGAACATTTCTATTGATAGAGCAGTTTTGAAACGCTCTTTTTGTGGAAAATGCAGGTGGATATTTGGATAGCTTGGAGGATTTCGTTGGAAGCGGGAATTCAAATAAAAGGTAGACAGAGCATTCTCAGAAATTTCTTTCTGATGTCTGCATTCAACTCATAGAGTTGAAGATTCCCTTTCATAGAGCAGGTTTGAAACACTCTTTCTGGAGTATCTGGATGTGGACATTTGGAGCGCTTTGATGCCTACGGTGAAAAAGTAAATATCTTCCCATAAAAACGAGACAGAAGGATTCTCAGAAACAAGTTTGTGATGTGTGTACTCAGCTAACAGAGTGGAACCTTTCTTTTTACAGAGCAGCTTTGAAACTCTATTTTTGTGGATTCTGCAAATTGATATTTAGATTGCTTTAACGATAATCGTTGGAAAAGGGAATATCGTCATACAAAATCTAGACAGAAGCATTCTCACAAACTTCTTTGTGATGTGTGTCCTCAACTAACAGAGTTGAACCTTTCTTTTGATGCAGCAATTTGGAAACACCCTTTTGGTAGAAACTGTAACTGGATATTTGGATAGATCTAACGATTTCGTTGGAAACGGGAATATCATCATCTAAAATGTAGACAGAAGCACTATTAGAAACTACTTGGTGATATCTGCATTCAAGTCAAAGAGTTGAGCATTCCCTTACTTTGAGCACGTTTGAAACACTCTTTTGGAAGAATCTGGAAGTGGACATTTGGAGCGCTTTGATGCCTTTGGTGAAAAGGAAACGTCTTCCAATAAAAGCCAGACAGAAGCATTCTCAGAAACTTGTTTGTGATGTGTGTACTCAACTAAAAGAGTTGAACCTTTCTATTGATAGAGCAGTTTTGAAACACTCTTTTTGTGGATTCTGCAAGTGGATATTTGGATTGCTTTGAGGATTTCGTTGGAAGCGGGAATTCGTATAAAAACTAGACAGCAGCATTCCCAGAAATTTCTTTCGGATATTTCCATTCAACTCATAGAGATGAACATCGCCTTTCATAGAGCAGGTTTGAAACACTCTTTTTGTAGTTTGTGGAAGTGGACATTTCGATCGCCTTGACGCCTACGGTGAAAAAGAAAATATCTTCCCATAAAAAATAGACAGAAGCATTCTCAGAAACTTGTTGGTGATATGTGTCCTCAACTAACAGAGTTGAACTTTGCCATTGATAGAGAGCAGTTTTGAAACACTCTTTTTGTGGAATCTGCAAGTGGATATTTGGATAGCTTGGAGGATTTCGTTGGAAGCGGGAATTCAAATAAAAGGTAGACAGCAGCATTCTCAGAAATTTCTTTCTGATGTCTGCATTCAACTCATAGAGTTGAACATTCCCTTTCATAGGGCAGGTTTGAAATACTCTTTCTGTAGTATCTGGATGTGGACATTTGGAGCGCTTTGATGCCTACGGTGAAAACGTAAATATCTTCCCATAAAAACGAGACAGAAGGATTCTGAGAAACAAGTTTGTGATGTGTGTACTCAGCTAACAGAGTGGAACCTCTCTTTTGATGCAGCAGTTTGGAAACACTCTTTTTGTAGAAACTGTAAGTGGATATTTGGATAGCTTTAATGATTTCGTTGGAAACGGGAATATCATCATCTAAAATCTAGACAGAAGCCCTCTCAGAAACTACTTTGTGATATCTGCATTCAAGTCACAGAGTTGAACATTCGCTTTCTTAGAGCACGTTTGAAACACTCTTTTTGTAGTGTCTGGAAGTGGACATTTGGAGCGCTTTGATTCCTTTTGTGAAAAAGGGAATGTCTACCCATAAAAACTAGACAGAAGCATTCTCAGAAACTTGTTTGTGATGTGTGTACCCAGCCAAAGGAGTTGAACGTTTCTATTGATAGAGCAGTTTTGAAACACTCTTGTTGTGGAAAATGCAAGTGGATATTTGGATAGCTTGGAGGATTTCGTTGGATGCGGGAATTCAAATAAAAGGTAGACAGCAGCATTCTCAGAAATTTCTTTCTGATGTCTGCATTCAACTCATAGAGTTGAAGATTCCCTTTCATAGAGCAGGTTTGAAACACTCGTTCTGGAGTATCTGGATGTGGACATTTGGAGCGCTTTGATGCCTACGGTGGAAAAGTAAATATCTTCCCATAAAAACGAGACAGAAGGATTCTGAGCAAACAAGTTTGTGATGTGTGTACTCAGCTAACAGAGTGGAACCTTTCTTTTTACAGAGCAGCTTTGAAACTCTATTTTTGTGGATTCTGCAAATGGATATTTAGATTGCTTTAACGATATCGTTGGAAAAGGGAATATCGTCATACAAAATCTAGACAGAAGCATTCTCACAAACTTCTTTGTGATGTGTGTCCTCAACTAACAGAGTTGAACCTTTCTTTTGATGCAGCAGTTTGGAAACACTGTTTTTGTAGCAACTGTAAGTGGATATTTGGATAGCTCTAACGATTTCGTTGGAAACGGGAATATCATCATCTAAAATCTAGACAGAAGCACTATTAGAAACTACTTGGTGATATCTGCATTCAAGTCACAGAGTTGAACATTCCCTTACTTTGAGCACGTTTGAAACACTCTTTTGGAAGAATCTGGAAGTGGACATTTGGAGCGCTTTGATGCCTTTGGTGGAAAGGAAACGTCTTCCAATAAAAGCCAGACAGAAGCATTCTCAGAAACTTGTTCGTGATGTGTGTACTCAACTAAAAGAGTTGAACCTTTCTATTGATAGAGCAGTTTTGAAACACTCTTTTTGTGGATTCTGCAAGTGGATATTTGGATTGCTTTGAGGATTTCGTTGGAAGCGGGAATTCGTATAAACACTAGACAGCAGCATTCCCAGAAATTTCTTTCGGATATTTCCATTCAACTCATAGAGATGAACATGGCCTTTCATACTGAAACACTCTTTTTGTAGTTTGTGGAAGTGGACATTTCGATCGCCTTGACGCCTACGGTGAAAAAGGAAATATCTTCCCATAAAAAATAGACAGAAGCATTCTCAGAAACTTGTTGGTGATATGTGCCCTCAACTAACAGAGTTGAACTTTGCCATTGATAGAGAGCAGTTTTGAAACACTCTTTTTTTGGAATCTGCAAGTGGATATTTGGATAGCTTGGAGGATTTCGTTGGAAGCGGGAATTCAAATAAAAGGTAGACAGCAGCATTCTCAGGAAATTTCTTTCTGATCTCTGCATTCAACTCATAGAGTTGAACATTCCCTTTCATAGGGCAGGTTTGAAATACTCTTTCTGGAGTATCTGGATGTGGACATTTGGAGCGCTTTGATGCCTACGGTGAAAAAGTAAATATCTTCCCATAAAAACGAGACAGAAGGATTCTCAGAAACAAGTTTGTGATGTGTGTACTCAGCTAACAGAGTGGAACCTGTCTTTTGATGCAGCAGTTTGGAAACACTTTTTTTGTAGAAACTGTAAGTGGATATTTGGATAGCTCTAATGATTTCGTTGGAAACGGGAATATCATCATCTAAAATCTAGAGAGAAGCCCTCTCAAAAACTACTTTGTGATATCTGCATTCAAGTCACAGAGTTGAACATTCGCTTTCTTAGAGCACGTTTGAAACACTCTTTTTGTAGTGTCTGGAAGTGGAAATTTGGAGCGCTTTGATGCCTTTGGTGAAAAAGGGAATATCTTCCAATAAAAACTAGACAGAAGCATTCTCAGAAACTTGTTTGTGATGTGTGCACCCAGCTAAAGGAGTTGAACATTTATTGATAGAGCAGTTTTGAAGCACTCTTTTTGTGGAAAATGCAAGTGGATATTTGGATAGCTTGGAGGATTTCGTTGGAAGCAGGAGTTCAAATAAAAGGTAGACAGCAGCATTCTCAGAAATTTCTTTCTGATGTCTGCATTCAACTCATAGAGTTGAAGATTCCCTTTCATAGAGCAGGTTTGAAACACTCTTTCTGGAGTATCTGGATGTGGACATTTGGAGCGCTTTGATGCCTACGGTGAAAAAGTAAATATCTTCCCATAAAAACGAGACAGAAGGATTCTGAGAGACAAGTTTGTGATGTGTGTACTCAGCTAACAGAGTGGAACCTTTCTTTTTACAGAGCAGCTTTGAAACTCTATTTTTGTGGATTCTGCAAATGGATATTTAGATTGCTTTAACGATATCGTTGGAAAAGGGAATATCGTCATACAAAATCTGGACAGAAGCATTCTCACAAACTTCTTTGTGACGTGTGTCCTCAACTAACAGAGTTGAACCTTTCTTTTGATGCAGCAGTTTGGAAACACTCTTTTTGTAGAAACTGTAAGTGGATATTTGGATAGCTCTAACGATTTCGTTGGAAACGGGAATATCATCATCTAAAATCTAGACAGAAGCACTATTAGAAACTACTTGGTGATATCTGCATTCAAGTCACAGAGTTGAACATTCCCTTACTTTGAGCACGTTTCAAACACTCTTTTGGAAGAATCTGGAAGTGGACATTTGGAGCGCTTTGATGCCTTTGGTGAAAAGGAAACGTCTTCCAATAAAAGCCAGACAGAAGCAATCTCAGAATCTTCTTTGGGATATATGCACGCAGCTAACAGAGTTGAACCTTTCTATTGACAGAGCAGTTTTGAAACACTCTTTTTGTGGATTCTGCAAGTGGATATTTGGATTGCTTTGAGGATTTCGTTGGAAGCGGGAATTCGTATAACAACTAGACAGCAGCATTCCCAGAAATTTCTTTTGGATATTTCCATTCAACTCATAGAGATGAACATGGCCTTTCATATTGAAACACTCTTTTTGTAGTTTGTGGAAGTGGACATTTCAATCGCCTTGACGCCTACGGTGAAAAAGGAAATATCTTCCCATAAAAAATAGACAGAAGCATTCTCAGAAACTTGTTGGTGATATGTGTCCTCAACTAACAGAGTTGAACTTTGCCATTGATAGAGAGCAGTTTTGAAACACTCTTTTTGTGGAATCTGCAAGTGGATATTTGGATAGCTTGGAGGATTTCGTTGGAAGCGGGAATTCAAATTAAAGGTAGACAGCAGGATTCTGAGAAACAAGTTTGTGATGTGTGTACTCAGCTAACAGAGGGGAACCTCTCTTTTGATGCAGCAGTTTGGAAACACTCTTTTTGTAGAAACTGTAAGTGGATATTTGGATAGCTCTAATGATTTCGTTGGAAACGGGAATATCATCATCTAAAATCTAGACAGAAGCCCTCTCAGAAACTACTTTGTGATATCTGCATTCAAGTCACAGAGTTGAACATTCGGTTTCTTAGAGCACGTTTGAAACACTCTTTTTGTAGTGTCTGGAAGTGGACATTTGGAGCGCTTTGATGCCTTTGGTGAAAAAGGGAATGTCTTCCCATAAAAACTAGACAGAAGCATTCTCAGAAACTTGTTTGTGATGTGTGTACCCAGCCAAAGGAGTTGAACATTTCTATTGATAGAGCAGTTTTGAAACACTCTTGTTGTGGAAAATGCACGTGGATATTTGGATAGCTTGGAGGATTTCGTTGGAAGCGGGAATTCAAATAAAAGGTAGACAGCAGCATTCTCAGAAATTTCTTTCTGATGTCTGCATTCAACTCATAGAGTTGAAGATTCCCTTTCATAGAGCAGGTTTGAAACACTCTTTCTGGAGTATCTGGATGTGGACATTTGGAGCGCTTTGATGCCTACGGTGAAAAAGTAAATATCTTCCCATAAAAACGAGACAGAAGGATTCTCAGAAACAAGTTTGTGATGTGTGTACTCAGCTAACAGAGTGGAACCTTTCTTTTTACAGAGCAGCTTTGAAACTCTATTTTTGTGGATTCTGCAAATTGATATTTAGATTGCTTTAACGATATCGTTGGAAAAGGGAATATCGTCATAGAAAATCTAGACAGAAGCATTCTCACAAACTTCTTTGTGATGTGTGTCCTCAACTAACAGAGTTGAACCTTTCTTTTGATGCAGCAATTTGGAAACACCCTTTTGGTAGAAACTGTAACTGGATATTTGGATAGCTCTAGCGACTTCGTTGGAAACGGGAATATCATCATCTAAAATCTAGACAGAAGCACTATTAGAAACTACTTGGTGATATCTGCATTCAAGTCACAGAGTAGAACATTCCCTTACTTCGAGCACGTTTGAAACACTCTTTTGGAAGAATCTGGAAGTGGACATTTGGAGCGCTTTGATGCCTTTGGTGAAAAGGAAACGTCTTCCAATAAAAGCCAGACAGAAGCATTCTCAGCAAACTTGTTGGTGATGTGTGTACTCAACTAAAAGAGTTGAACCTTTCTATTGATAGAGCAGTTTTGAAACACTCTTTTTGTGGATTCTGCAAGTGGATATTTGGATTGCTTAGAGGATTTCGTTGGAAGCGGGAATTCGTATAAACACTAGACAGCAGCATTCCCAGAAATTTCTTTCGGATATTTCCATTCAACTCATAGAGATGAACATGGCCTTTCATAGAGCAGGTTTGAAACACTCTTTTTGTAGTTTGTGGAAGTGGACATTTCGATCGCCTTGACGCCTACGGTGAAAAAGGAAATATCTTCCCATAAACAATAGACAGAAGCATTCTCAGAAACTTGTTTGTGATGTGTGTACCCAGCCAAAGGAGTTGAACATTTCTATTGATAGAGCAGTTTTGAAACACTCTTGTTGTGGAAAATGCAGGTGGATATTTGGATAGCTTGGAGGATTTCGTTGGAAGCGGGAATTCTAATAAAAGGTAGACAGCAGCATTCTCAGAAATTACTTTCTGATGTGTGCATTCAACCCATAGAGTTGAAGAATCCCTTTCATAGAGCAGGTTTGAAACACTCTTTCTGTAGTATCTGGATGAGGACATTTGGAGCGCTTTGATACCTACGGTGAAAAAGTAAATATCTTCCCATAAAAACTAGACAGAAGGATTCTGAGAAACAAGTTTGTGATGTGTGTACTCAGCTAACAGAGTGGAACCTCTCTTTTGATGCAGCAGTTTGGAAACACTCTTTTTGTAGAAACTGTAAGTGGATATTTGGATAGCTCTAATGATTTCGTTGGAAACGGGAATATCATCATCTAAAATCTAGACAGAAAGCACTCTCAGAAACTACTGTGTGATATCTGCATTCAAGTCACAGAGTTGAACATTCGCTTTCTTAGAGCACGTTTGAAACACTCTTTTTGTAGTGTCTGGAAGTGGACATTTGGAGCGCTTTGATTCCTTTGGTGAAAAAGGGAATGTCTACCCATAAAAACTAGACAGAAGCATTCTCAGAAACTTGTTTGTGATGTGTGTACCCAGCCAAAGGAGTTGAACATTTCTATTGATAGAGCAGTTTTGAAACACTCTTTTTGTGGAAAATGCAGGTGGATATTTGGATAGCTTGGAGGATTTCGTTGGAAGCGGGAATTCAAATAAAAGGTAGACAGCAGCATTCTCAGAAATTTCTTTCTGATGTCTGCATTCAACTCATAGAGTTGAAGATTCCCTTTCATAGAGCAGGTTTGAAACACCCTTTCTGGAGTATCTGGATGTGGACATTTGGAGCGCTTTGATGCCTGCGGTGAAAAAGTAAATATCTTCCCATAAAAACGAGACAGAAGGATTCTCAGAAACAAGTTTGTGATGTGTGTACTCAGCTAAAAGAGTGGAACCTTTCTTTTTACAGAGCAGCTTTGAAAGTCTATTTTTGTGGATTCTGCAAATTGATATTTAGATTGCTTTAACGATATCGTTGGAAAAGGGAATATCGTCATACAAAATCTAGACAGAAGCATTCTCACAAACTTCTTTGTGATGTGTGTCCTCAACTAACAGAGTTGAACCTTTCTTTTGATGCAGCAATTTGGAAACACCCTTTTGGTAGAAACTGTAACTGGATATTTGGATAGCTCTAACGATTTCGTTGTAAACGGGAATATCATCATCTAAAATCTAGACAGAAGCACTATTAGAAACTACTTGGTGATATCTGCATTCAAGTCACAGAGTTGAACATTCCCTTACTTCGAGCACGTTTGAAACACTCTTTTGGAAGAATCTGGAAGTGGACATTTGGAGCGCTTTGATGCCTTTGTTGAAAAGGAAACGTCTTCCAATAAAAGCCAGACAGAAGCATTCTCAGAAACTTGTTCGTGATGTGTGTACTCAACTAAAAGAGTTGAACCTTTCTATTGATAGAGCAGTTTTGAAACACTCTTTTTGTGGATTCTGCAAGTGGATATTTGGATTGCTTTGAGGATTTCGTTGGAAGCGGGAATTCGTATAAACACTAGACAGCAGCATTCCCAGAAATTTCTTTCGGATATTTCCATTCAACTCATAGAGATGAACATGGCCTTTCATAGAGCAGGTTTGAAACACTCTTTATGTAGTTTGTGGAAGTGGACATTTCGATCGCCTTGACGCCTACGGTGAAAAAGGAAATATCTTCCCATAAAAAATAGACAGAAGCATTCTCAGAAACTTGTTGGTGATATGTGTCCTCAACTAACAGAGTTGAACTTTGCCATTGATAGAGAGCAGTTTTGAAACACTCTTTTTCCTGAATCTGCAAGTGGATATTTGGATAGTTGGGAGGATTTCGTTGGAAGCGGGAATTCAAATAAAAGGTAGACAGCAGCATTCTCAGAAATTTCTTTCTGATGTCTGCATTCAACTCATAGAGTTGAACATTCCCTTTCATAGGGCAGGTTTGAAATACTCTTTCTGTAGTATCTGGATGTGGACATTTGGAGCGCTTTGATGCCTACGGTGAAAAAGTAAATATCTTCCCATAAAAACGAGACAGAAGGATTCTGAGAAACAAGTTTGTGATGTGTGTACTCAGCTAACAGAGTGGAACCTCTCTTTTGATGCAGCAGTTTGGAAACACTCTTTTTGTAGAAACTGTAAGTGGATATTTGGATAGCTCTAATGATTTCGTTGGAAACGGGAATATCATCATCTAAAATCTAGACAGAAGCCCTCTCAGAAACTACTTTGTGATATCTGCATTCAAGTCACAGAGTTGAACATTCGCTTTCTTAGAGCACGTTGGAAACACTCTTTTTGTAGTGTCTGGAAGTGGACATTTGGAGCGCTTTGATGCCTTTGGTGAAAAAGGGAACGTCTTCCCATAAAAACTAGACAGAAGCATTCTCAGAAACTTGTTTGTGATGTGTGTACCCAGCTAAAGGAGTTGAACATTTCTATTGATACAGCAGTTTTGAAACACTCTTTTTGTGGAAAATGCAAGTGGATATTTGGATAGCTTGGAGGATTTCGTTGGAAGAGGGAATTCAAATAAAAGGTAGACAGCAGCATTCTCAGAAATTTCTTTCTGATGTCTGCATTCAAATCATAGAGTTGAAGATTCCCTTTCATAGAGCAGGTTTGAAACACTCTTTCTGGAGTATCTGGATGTGGACATTTGGAGCGCTTTGATGCCTACGGTGGAAAAGTAAATATCTTCCCATAAAAACGAGACAGAAGGATTCTCAGAAACAAGTTTGTGATGTGTGTACTCAGCTAACAGAGTGGAACCTTTCTTTTTACAGAGCAGCTTTGAAACTCTATTTTTGTGGATTCTGCAAATTGGTATTTAGATTGCTTTAACGATATCGTTGGAAAAGGGAATATCGTCATGCAAAATCTAGACAGAAGCATTCTCACAAACTTCTTTGTGATGTGTGCCCTCAACTAACAGAGTTGAACCTTTCTTTTGATGCAGCAATTTGGAAACACCCTTTTGGTAGAAACTGTAACTGGATATTTGGATAGCTCTAACGATTTCGTTGGAAACGGGAATATCATCATCTAAAATGTAGACAGAAGCACTATTAGAAACTACTTGGTGATATCTGCATTCAAGTCACAGAGTTGAACATTCCCTTACTTCGAGCACGTTTGAAACACTCTTTTGGAAGAATCTGGAAGTGGACATTTGGAGCGCTTTGATGCCTTTGGTGAAAAGGAAACGTCTTCCAATAAAAGCCAGACAGAAGCATTCTCAGAAACTTGTTTGTGATGTGTGTACTCAACTAAAAGAGTTGAACCTTTCTATTGATAGAGCAGTTTTGAAACACTCTTTTTGTGGATTCTGCAAGTGGATATTTGGATTGCTTT
The DNA here is from genome assembly GCF_000001405.40 of Homo sapiens. Classification (NCBI taxonomy): domain Eukaryota; kingdom Metazoa; phylum Chordata; class Mammalia; order Primates; family Hominidae; genus Homo; species Homo sapiens. The sequence continues at coordinate 17,917,325 of NC_000014.9, forward strand.
GAGGATTTCGTTGGAAGCGGGAATTCGTATAAAAACTAGACAGCAGCATTCCCAGAAATTTCTTTCGGATATTTCCATTCGACTCATAGAGATGAACATGGCCTTTCATAGAGCAGGTTTGAAACACTCTTTTTGTAGTTTGTGGAAGTGGACATTTCGATCGCCTTGACGCCTACGGTGAAAAAGGAAATATCTTCCCATAAAAAATAGACAGAAGCATTCTCAGAAACTAGTTTGTGATGTGTGTACCCAGCCAAAGGAGTTGAACATTTCTATTGATAGAGCAGTTTTGAAACACTCTTGTTGTGGAAAATGCAGGTGGATATTTGGATAGCTTGGAGGATTTCGTTGGAAGCGGGAATTCAAATAAAAGGTAGACAGCAGCATTCTCAGAAATTTCTTTCTGATGTCTGCATTCAACTCATAGAGTTGAAGATTCCCTTTCATAGAGCAGGTTTGAAACACTCTTTCTGGAGTATCTGGATGTGGACATTTGGAGCGCTTTGATGCCTACGGTGAAAAAGTAAATATCTTCCCATAAAAACGAGACATAAGGATTCTGAGAAACAAGTTTGTGATGTGTGTACTCAGCTAACAGAGTGGAACCTCTCTTTTGATGCAGCAGTTTGGAAACACTCTTTTTGTAGAAACTGTAAGTGGATATTTGGATAGCTCTAATGATTTCGTTGGAAACGGGAATATCATCATCTAAAATCTAGACAGAAGCCCTCTCAGAAACTACTTTGTGATATCTGCATTCAAGTCACAGAGTTGAACATTCGCTTTCTTAGAGCACGTTTGAAACACTCTTTTTCTAGTGTCTGGAAGTGGACATTTGGAGCGCTTTGATGCCTTTGGTGAAAAAGGGAATGTCTTCCCATAAAAACTAGACAGAAGCATTCTCAGAAACTTGTTTGTGATGTGTGTACCCAGCTAAAGGAGTTGAACATTTCTATTGATAGAGCAGTTTTGAAACACTCTTTTTGTGGAAAATGCAAGTGGATATTTGGATAGCTTGGAGGATTTCGTTGGAAGCGGGAATTCAAATAAAAGGTAGACAGCAGGATTCTCAGAAACAAGTTTGTGATGTGTGTACTCAGCTAACAGAGTGGAACCTTTCTTTTTACAGAGCAGCTTTGAAACTCTAGTTTTGTGGATTCTGCTAATTGATATTTAGATTGCTTTAACGATATCGTTGGAAAAGGGAATATCCTCATACAAAATCTAGACAGAAGCATTCTCACAAACTTCTTTGTGATGTGTGTCCTCAACTAACAGAGTTGAACCTTTCTTTTGATGCAGCAATTTGGAAACACCCTTTTGGTAGAAACTGTAACTGGATATTTGGATAGCTCTAACGATTTCGTTGGAAACGGGAATATCATCATCTAAAATGTAGACAGAAGCAGTATTAGAAACTACTTGGTGATATCTGCATTCAAGTCACAGAGTTGAACATTCCCTTACTTTGAGCACGTTTGAAACACTCTTTTGGAAGAATCTGGAAGTGGACATTTGGAGCGCTTTGATGCCTTTGGTGAAAAGGAAACGTCTTCCAATAAAAGCCAGACAGAAGCATTCTGAGAAACTTGTTCGTGATGTGTGTACTCAACAAAAAGAGTTGAACCTTTCTATTGATAGAGCAGTTTTGAAACACTCTTTTTGTGGATTCTGCAAGTGGATATTTGGATTGCTTTGAGGATTTCGTTGGAAGCGGGAATTCGTATAAACACTAGACAGCAGCATTCCCAGAAATTTCTTTCGGATATTTCCATTCAACTCATAGAGATGAACATGGCCTTTCATAGAGCAGGTTTGAAACACTCTTTTTGTAGTTTGTGGAAGTGGACATTTCGATCGCCTTGACGCCTACGGTGAAAAAGGAAATATCTTCCCATAAAAAATAGACAGAAGCATTCTCAGAAACTTGTTGGTGATATGTGTCCTCAACTAACAGAGTTGAACTTTGCCATTGATAGAGAGCAGTTTTGAAACACTCTTTTTGTGGAATCTGTAAGTGGATATTTGGATAGCTTGGAGGATTTCGTTGGAAGCGGGAATTCAAATAAAAGGTAGACAGCAGCATTCTCAGAAATTTCTTTGTGACGTTTGCATTCAACTCATAGAGTTGAAGATTCCCTTTCATAGAGCAGGTTTGAAACACTCTTTCTGTACTATCTGGATGTGGACATTTGGAACGCTTTGATGCCTACGGTGAAAAAGAAAATATCTTCCCATAAAAGCTAGACAGAAGGATTCTGAGAAACAAGTTTGTGATGTGTGTACTCAGCTAACAGAGTGGAACCTCTCTTTTGATGCAGCAGTTTGGAAACGCTCTTTTTGTAGAAACTGTAAGTGGATATTTGGATAGTTCTAATGATTTCGTTGGAAACGGGAATATCATCATCTAAAATCTAGACAGAAGCCCTCTCAGAAACTACTTTGTGATATCTGCATTCAACTCACAGAGTTGAACATTCGGTTTCTTAGAGCACGTTTGAAACACTCTTTTCGTAGTGTCTGGAAGTGGACATTTGGAGCGCTTTGATGCCTTCGGTGAAAAAGGGAATGTCTTCCCATAAAAACTAGACAGAAGCATTCTCAGAAACTTGTTTGTGATGTGTGTACCCAGCCAAAGGAGTTGAACATTTCTATTGATAGAGCAGTTTTGAAACACTCTTTTTGTGGAAAATGCAGGTGGATATTTGGACAGCTTGGAGGATTTCGTTGGAAGCGGGAATTCAAATAAAAGGTAGACAGCAGCATTCTCAGAAATTTCTTTCTGATGTCTGCATTCAACTCATAGAGTTGAAGATTCCCTTTCATAGAGCAGGTTTGAAACACTCTTTCTGGAGTATCTCGATGTGGACATTTGGAGCGCTTTGATGCCTACGGTGAAAAAGTAAATATCTTCCCATAAAAACGAGACAGAAGGATTCTCAGAAACAAGTTTGTGATGTGTGTACTCAGCTAACTGAGTGGAACCTTTCTTTTTACAGAGCAGCTTTGAAACTCTATTTTTGTGGATTCTGCAAATTGATATTTAGATTGCTTTAACGATATCGTTGGAAAAGGGAATATCGTCATACAAAATCTGGACAGAAGCATTCTCACAAACTTCTTTGTGATGTGTGTCCTCAACTAACAGAGTTGAACCTTTCTTTTTATGCAGCAATTTGGAAACACCCTTTTGGTAGAAACTGTAACTGGATATTTGGATAGCTCTAACGATTTCGTTGGAAACGGGAATATCATCATCTAAAATCTAGACAGAAGCACTATTAGAAACTACTTGGTGATATCTGCATTCAAGTCACAGAGTAGAACATTCCCTTACTTCGAGCACGTTTGAAACACTCTTTTGGAAGAATCTGGAAGTGGACATTTGGAGCGCTTTGATGCCTTTGGTGAAAAGGAAACGTCTTCCAATAAAAGCCAGACAGAAGCATTCTGAGAAACTTGTTGGTGATGTGTGTACTCAACTAAAAGAGTTGAACCTTTCTATTGATAGAGCAGTTTTGAAACACTCTTTTTGTGGATTCTGCAAGTGGATATTTGGATTGCTTTGAGGATTTCGTTGGAAGCGGGAATTCGTATAAACACTAGACAGCAGCATTCCCAGAAATTTCTTTCGGATATTTCCATTCAACTCATAGAGATGAACATGGCCTTTCATAGAGCAGGTTTGAAACACTCTTTTTGTAGTTTGTGGAAGTGGACATTTCGATCGCCTTGACGCCTACGGTGAAAAAGGAAATATCTTCCCATAAAAAATAGACAGAAGCATTCTCAGAAACTTGTTGGTGATATGTGTCCTCAACTAACAGAGTTGAACTTTGCCATTGATAGAGAGCAGTTTTGAAACACTCTTTTTGTGGAATCTGCAAGTGGATATTTGGATAGCTTGGAGGATTTAGTTGGAAGCGGGAATTCAAATAAAAGGTAGACAGCAGGATTCTGAGAAACTAGTTTGTGATGTGTGTACTCAGCTAACAGAGTGGAACCTCTGTTTTGATGCAGCAGTTTGGAAACACTCTTTTTGTAGAAACTGTAAGTGGATATTTGGATAGCTCTAATGATTTCTTTGGAAACGGGAATATCATCATCTAAAATCTAGACAGAAGCCCTCTCAAAAACTACTTTGTGATATCTGCATTCAAGTCACAGAGTTGAACATTCGCTTTCTTAGAGCACGTTTGAAACACTCTTTTTGTAGTGTCTGGAAGTGGACATTTGGAGCGCTTTGATGCCTTTGGTGAAAAAGGGAATGTCTTCCCATAAAAACTAGACAGAAGCATTCTCAGAAACTTGTTTGTGATGTGTGTACCCAGCTAAAGGAGTTGAACATTTCCATTGATAGAGCAGTTTTGAAACACTCTTTTTGTGGAAAATGCAAGTGGATATTTGGATAGCTTGGAGGATTTCGTTGGAAGCGGGAATTCAAATAAAAGGAAAACGCCAGGATTCTCAGAAACAAGTTTGTGATGTGTGCACTCAGCTAACAGAGTGGAACCTTTCTTTTTACAGAGCAGCTTTGAAACTCTATTTTTGTGGATTCTGCAAATGGATATTTAGATTGCTTTAACGATATCGTTGGAAAAGGGAATATCGTCATACAAAATCTAGACAGAAGCTTTCTCAGAAACTTCTTTGTGATGTGTGTCCTCAACTAACAGAGTTGAACCTTTCTTTTGATGCAGCAGTTTGGAAACACTCTTTTTGTAGAAACTGTAAGTGGATATTTGGATAGGTCTAACGATTTCGTTGGAAACGGGAATATCATCATCTAAAATCTAGACAGAAGCACTATTAGAAACTACTTGGTGATATCTGCATTCAAGTCACAGAGTTGAACATTCCCTTACTTTGAGCACGTTTCAAACACTCTTTTGGAAGAATCTGGAAGTGGACATTTGGAGCGCTTTGATGCCTTTGGTGAAAAGGAAACGTCTTCCAATAAAAGCCAGACAGAAGCATTCTCAGAAACTTGTTTGTGATGTGTGTACTCAACTAAAAGAGTTGAACCTTTCTATTGATAGAGCAGTTTTGAAACACTCTTTTTGTGGATTCTGTAAGTGGATATTTGGATTGCTTTGAGGATTTCGTTGGAAGCGGGAATTCGTATAAAAACTAGACAGCAGCATTCCCAGAAATTTCTTTCGGATATTTCCATTCAACTCATAGAGATGAACATGGCCTTTCATAGAGCAGGTTTGAAACACTCTTTTTGTAGTTTGTGGAAGTGGACATTTCGATCGCCTTGACGCCTACGGTGAAAAAGGAAATATCTTCCCATAAAAAATAGACAGAAGCATTCTCAGAAACTTGTTGGTGATATGTGTCCTCAACTAACAGAGTTGAACTTTGCCATTGATAGAGAGCAGTTTTGAAACACTCTTTTTCCTGAATCTGCAAGTGGATATTTGTATAGCTTGGAGGATTTCGTTGGAAGCGGGAATTCAAATAAATGGTAGACAGCAGCATTCTCAGAAGTTTCTTTCTGATGTCTGCATTCAACTCATAGAGTTGAACATTCCCTTTCATAGAGCAGGTTTGAAACACTCTTTCTGGAGTATCTGGATGTGGACATTTGGAGCGCTTTGATGCCTACGGTGAAAAAGTAAATATCTTCCCATAAAAACGAGACAGAAGGATTCTGAGAAACAAGTTTGTGATGTGTGTACTCAGCTAACAGAGTGGAACCTCTCTTTTGATGCAGCAGTTTGGAAACACTCTTTTTGTAGAAACTGTAAGTGGATATTTGGATAGCTCTAATGATTTCGTTGGAAACGGGAATATCATCATCTAAAATCTAGACAGAAGCCCTCTCAGAAACTACTTTGTGATATCTGCATTCAAGTCACAGAGTTGAACATTCGGTTTCTTAGAGCACGTTGGAAACACTCTTTTTGTAGTGTCTGGAAGTGGACATTTGGAGCGCTTTGATGCCTTTGGTGAAAAAGGGAATGTCTTCCCATAAAAACTAGACAGAAGCATTCTCAGAAACTTGTTTGTGATGTGTGTACCCAGCCAAAGGAGTTGAACATTTCTATTGATAGAGCAGTTTTGAAACACTCTTTTTGTGGAAAATGCAAGTGGATATTTGGATAGCTTGGAGGATTTCGTTGGAAGCGGGAATTCAAATAAAAGGTAGACAGCAGCATTCTCAGAAATTTCTTTCTGATGTCTGCATTCAACTCATAGAGTTGAAGATTCCCTTTCATAGAGCAGGTTTGAAACACTCGTTCTGGAGTATCTGGATGTGGACATTTGGAGTGCTTTGATGCCTACGGTGGAAAAGTAAATATCTTCCCATAAAAACGAGACAGAAGGATTCTGAGAAACAAGTTTGTGATGTGTGTACTCAGCTAACAGAGTGGAACCTTTCTTTTTACAGAGCAGCTTTGAAACTCTATTTTTGTGGATTCTGCAAATTGATATTTAGATTGCTTTAACGATATCGTTGGAAAAGGGAATATGGTCATACAAAATCTAGACAGAAGCATTCTCACAAACTTCTTTGTGATGTGTGTCCTCAACTAACAGAGTTGAACCTTTCTTTTGATGCAGCAGTTTGGAAACACTGTTTTTGTAGCAACTGTAAGTGGATATTTGGATAGCTCTAACGATTTCGTTGGAAACGGGAATATCATCATCTAAAATCTAGACAGAAGCACTATTAGAAACTACTTGGTGATATCTGCATTCAAGTCACAGAGATGAACATTCCCTTACTTCGAGCACGTTTGAAACACTCTTTTGGAAGAATCTGGAAGTGGACATTTGGAGCGCTTTGATGCCTTTGGTGAAAAGGAAACGTCTTCCAATAAAAGCCAGACAGAAGCATTCTCAGAAACTTGTTCGTGATGTGTGTACTCAACTAAAAGAGTTGAACCTTTCTATTGATAGAGCAGTTTTGAAACACTCTTTTTGTGGATTCTGCAAGTGGATATTTGGATTGCTTTGAGGATTTCGTTGGAAGCGGGAATTCGTATAAACACTAGACAGCAGCATTCCCAGAAATTTCTTTCGGATATTTCCATTCGACTCATAGAGATGAACATGGCCTTTCATAGAGCAGGTTTGAAACACTCTTTTTGTAGTTTGTGGAAGTGGACATTTCAGATCGCCTTGACGCCTACGGTGAAAAAGGAAATATCTTCCCATAAAAAATAGACAGAAGCATTCTCAGAAACTTGTTGGTGATATGTGTCCTCAACTAACAGAGTTGAACTTTGCCATTGATAGAGACCAGTTTTGAAACACTCTTTTTGTGGAATCTGCAAGTGGATATTTGGATAGCTTGGAGGATTTCGTTGGAAGCGGGAATTCAAATAAAAGGTAGACAGCAGCATTCTCAGAAATTTCTTTCTGATGTCTGCATTCAACTCATAGAGTTGAACATTCCCTTTCATAGAGCAGGTTTGAAACACTCTTTCTGGAGTATCTGGATGTGGACATTTGGAGCGCTTTGATGCCTACGGTGAAAAAGTAAATATCTTCCCATAAAAACGAGACAGAAGGATTCTGAGAAACAAGTTTGTGATGTGTGTACTCAACTAACAGAGTGGAACCTCTCTTTTGATGCAGCAGTTTGGAAACACTCTTTTTGTAGAAACTGTAAGTGGATATTTGGATAGCTGTAATGATTTCGTTGGAAACGGGAATATCATCATCTAAAATCTAGACAGAAAGCCCTCTCAGAAACTACTTTGTGATATCTGCATTCAAGTCACAGAGTTGAACATTCGCTTTCTTAGAGCACGTTTGAAACACTCTTTTTGTAGTGTCTGGAAGTGGACATTTGGAGCGCTTTGATGCCTTTGGTGAAAAAGGGAATGTCTTCCCATAAAAACTAGACAGAAGCATTCTCAGAAACTTGTTTGTGATGTGTGCACCCAGCCAAAGGAGTTGAACATTTATTGATAGAGCAGTTTTGAAGCACTCTTTTTGTGGAAAATGCAAGTGGATATTTGGATAGCTTGGAGGATTTCGTTGGAAGCGGGAGTTCAAATAAAAGGTAGACAGCAGCATTCTCAGAAATTTCTTTCTGATGTCTGCATTCAACTCATAGAGTTGAAGATTCCCTTTCATAGAGCAGGTTTGAAACACTCTTTCTGGAGTATCTGGATGTGGACATTTGGAGCGCTTTGATGCCTACAGTGAAAAAGTAAATATCTTCCCAGAAAAACGAGACAGAAGGATTCTCAGAAACAAGTTTGTGATGTGTGTACTCAGCTAACAGAGTGGAACCTTTCTTTTTACAGAGCAGCTTTGAAACTCTATTTTTGTGGATTCTGCAAATGGATATTTAGATTGCTTTAATGATATCGTTGGAAAAGGGAATATCGTCATACAAAATCTGGACAGAAGCATTCTCACAAACTTCTTTGTGATGTGTGTCCTCAGCTAACAGAGTGGAACCTCTCTTTTGATGCAGCAGTTTGGAAACACTCTTTTTGTAGAAACTGTAAGTGGATATTTGGATAGCTCTAATGATTTCGTTGGAAACGGGAATATCATCATCTAAAATCTAGACAGAAGCACTATTAGAAACTACTTGGTGATATCTGCATTCAAGTCACAGAGTAGAACATTCCCTTACTTCGAGCACGTTTGAAACACTCTTTTGGAAGAATCTGGAAGTGGACATTTGGAGCGCTTTGATGCCTTTGGTGAAAAGGAAACGTCTTCCAATAAAAGCCAGACAGAAGCATTCTCAGAAACTTCTTCGTGATGTGTGTACTCAACTAAAAGAGTTGAACCTTTCTATTGATAGCGCAGTTTTGAAACACTCTTTTTGTGGATTCTGCAAGTGGATATTTGGATTGCTTTGAGGATTTCGTTGGAAGCGGGAATTCATATAAAAACTAGACAGCAGCATTCCCAGAAATTTCTTTCGGATATTTCCATTCAACTCATTGAGATGAACATCGCCTTTCATAGAGCAGGTTTGAAACACTCTTTTTGTAGTTTGTGGAAGTGGACATTTCGATCGCCTTGATGCCTACAGTGAAAAAGGAAATATCTTCCCATAAAAAATAGACAGAAGCATTCTCAGAAACTTGTTGGTGATATGTGTCCTCAACTAACAGAGTTGAACTTTGCCATTGATAGAGAGCAGTTTTGAAACACTCTTTTTGTGGAATCTGCAAGTGGATATTTGGATAGCTTGGAGGATTTCGTTGGAAGCGGGAATTCAAATAAAAGGTAGACAGCAGGATTCTGAGAAACAAGTTTGTGATGTGTGTACTCAGCTAACAGAGTGGAACCTCTCTTTTGATGCAGCAGTTTGGAAACACTCTTTTTGTAGAAACTGTAAGTGGATATTTGGATAGCTCTAATGATTTCGTTGGAAACGGGAATATCATCATCTAAAATCTAGACAGAAGCCCTCTCAGAAACTACTTTGTGATATCTGCATTCAAGTCACAGAGTTGAACATTCGCTTTCTTAGAGTACGTTGGAAACACTCTTTTTGTAGTGTCTGGAAGTGGACATTTGGAGCGCTTTGATGCCTTTGGTGAAAAAGGGAATGTCTTCCCATAAAAACTAGACAGAAGCATTCTCAGAAACTTGTTTGTGATGTGTGTACCCAGCCAAAGGAGTTGAACATTTCTATTGATAGAGCAGTTTTGAAACACTCTTTTTGTGGAAAATGCAGGTGGATATTTGGATAGCTTGGAGGATTTCCGTTGGAAGCGGGAATTCAAATAAAAGGTAGACAGCGGATTCTGAGAAACAAGTTTGTGATGTGTGTACTCAGCTAACAGAGTGGAACCTTTCTTTTTACAGAGCAGCTTTGAAACTCTATTTTTGTGGATTCTGCAAATGGATATTTAGATTGCTTTAACGATATCGTTGGAAAAGGGAATATCGTCATACAAAATCTAGACAGAAGCATTCTCACAAACTTCTTTGTGATGTGTGTCCTCAACTAACAGAGTTGAACCTTTCTTTTGATGCAGCAGTTTGGAAACACTCTTTTTGTAGAAACTGTAAGTGGATATTTGGATAGCTCTAACGATTTCGTTGGAAACGGGCATATCATCATCTAAAATCTAGACAGAAGCACTATTAGAAACTACTTGGTGATATCTGCATTCAAGTCACAGAGTTGAACATTCCCTTACTTTGAGCACGTTTGAAACACTCTTTTGGAAGAATCTGGAAGTGGACATTTGGAGCACTGTGATGCCTTTGGTGAAAAGGAAACGTCTTCCAATAAAAGCCAGACAGAAGCATTCTCAGAAACTTGTTCGTGATGTGTGTACTCAACTAAAAGAGTTGAACCTTTCTATTGATAGAGCAGTTTTGAAACACTCTTTTTGTGGATTCTGCAAGTGGATATTTGGATTGCTTTGAGGATTTCGTTGGAAGCGGGAATTCGTATAAACACTAGACAGCAGCATTCCCAGAAATTTCTTTCGGATATTTCCATTCAACTCATAGAGATGAACATGGCCTTTCATAGAGCAGGTTTGAAACACTCTTTTTGTAGTTTGTGGAAGTGGACATTTCGATCGCCTTGACGCCTACGCTGAAAAAGGAAATATCTTCCCATACAAAATAGACAGAAGCATTCTCAGAAACTTGTTGGTGATATGTGTCCTCAACTAACAGAGTTGAACTTTGCCATTGATAGAGAGCAGTTTTGAAACACTCTTTTTGTGGAATCTGCAAGTGGATATTTGGATAGCTTGGCAGGATTTCGTTGGAAGCGGGAATTCAAATAAAAGGTAGACAGCAGCATTCTCAGAAATTACTTTCTGATGTCTGCATTCAACTCGTAGAGTTGAGGATTCCCTTTCATAGAGCAGGTTTGAAACACTCTTTCTGTAGTATCTGGATGTGGACATTTGGAGCGCTTTGATACCTACAGTGAAAAAGTAAATATCTTCCCATAAAAACTAGACAGAAGGATTCTCAGAAACAAGTTTGTGATGTGTGTACTCAGCTAACAGAGTGGATCCTTTCTTTTTACAGAGCAGCTTTGAAACTCTATTTCTGTGGATTCTGCAAATTGATATTTGGGTTGATTTAACGACATCGTTGGAAAAGGGAATATCTTCATACAAAATCTAGACAGAAGCCCTCTCAGAAACTACTTTGTGATATCTGCACTCAAGTCACAGAGTTGAACATTCGCTTTCTTAGAGCACGTTGGAAACACTCTTTTTGTAGTGTCTGGAAGTGGACATTTGGAGCGCTTTGATGCCTTTGGTGAAAAAGGGAATGTCTTCCCATAAAAACTAGACAGAAAGCATTCTCAGAAACTTGTTTGTGATGTGTGTACCCAGCTAAAGGAGTTGAACATTTCTATTGATAGAGCAGTTTTGAAACACTCTTTTTGTGGAAAATGCAAGTGGATATTTGGATAGCTTGGAGGATTTCGTTGGAAGCGGGAATTCAAATAAAAGGTAGACAGAGCATTCTCAGAAATTTCTTTCTGATGTCTGCATTCAACTCATAGAGTTGAAGATTCCCTTTCATAGAGCAGGTTTGAAACACTCTTTCTGGAGTATCTGGATGTGGACATTTGGAGCACTTTGATGCCTACGGTGAAAAAGTAAATATCTTCCCATAAAAACGAGACAGAAGGATTCTCAGAAACAAGTTTGTGATGTGTGTACTCAGCTAACAGAGTGGAACCTTTCTTTTTACAGAGCAGCTTTGAAACTCTATTTTTGTGGATTCTGCAAATGGATATTTAGATTGCTTTAATGATATCGCTGGAAAAGGGAATATGGTCATACAAAATCTAGACAGAAGCATTCTCACAAACTTCTTTGTGATGTGTGTCCTCAACTAACAGAGTTGAACCTTTCTTTTGATGCAGCAATTTGGAAACACCCTTTTGGTAGAAACTGTAACTGGATATTTGGATAGCTCTAACGATTTCGTTGGAAACGGGAATATCATCATCTAAAATCTAGACAGAAGCACTATTAGAAACTACTTGGTGATATCTGCATTCAAGACACAGAGTTGAACATTCCCTTACTTTGAGCACGTTTGAAACACTCTTTTGGAAGAATCTGGAAGTGGACATTTGGAGCGCTTTGATGCCTTTGGTGAAAAGGAAACGTCTTCCAATAAAAGACAGACAGAAGCATTCTCAGAAACTTGTTTGTGATGTGTGTACTCAACTAAAAGAGTTGAACCTTTCTATTGATAGAGCAGTTTTGAAACACTCTTTTTGTGGATTCTGCAAGTGGATATTTGGATTGCTTTGAGGATTTCGTTGGAAGCGGGAATTCGTATAAAAACTAGACAGCAGCATTCCCAGAAATTTCTTTCGGATATTTCCATTTGACTCATAGAGATGAACATGGCCTTTCATAGAGCAGGTTTGAAACACTCTTTTTGTAGTTTGTGGAAGTGGACATTTCGATCGCCTTGACGCCTACGGTGAAAAAGGAAATATCTTCCCATAAAAAATAGACAGAAGCATTCTCAGAAACTTGTTGGTGATATGTGTCCTCAACTAACAGAGTTGAACTTTGCCATTGATAGAGAGCAGTTTTGAAACACTCTTTTTGTGGAATCTGCAAGTGGATATTTGGATAGCTTGGAGGATTTCGTTGGAAGCGGGAATTCAAATAAAAGGTAGACAGCAGCATTCTCAGAAATTTCTTTCTGATGTCTGCATTCAACTCATAGAGTTGAAGATTCCCTTTCATAGAGCAGGTTTGAAACACTCTTTCTGGAGTATCTGGATGTGGACATTTGGAGAGCTTTGATGCCTACTGTGAAAAAGTAAATATCTTCCCATAAAAACGAGACAGAAGGATTCTGAGAAACAAGTTTGTGATGTGTGTACTCAGCTAACAGAGTGGAACCTCTCTTTTGATGCAGCAGTTTGGAAACACTCTTTTTGTAGAAACTGTAAGTGGATATTTGGATAGCTCTAATGATTTCGTTGGAAACGGGAATATCATCATCTAAAATCTAGACAGAAGCACTCTCAGAAACTACTTTGTGATATCTGCATTCAAGTCACAGAGTTGAACATTCCCTTTCTTAGAGCACGTTTGAAACACTCTTTTTGTAGTGTCTGGAAGTGGACATTTGGAGCGCTTTGATTCCTTTGGTGAAAAAGGGAATGTCTACCCATAAAAACTAGACAGAAGCATTCTCAGAAACTTGTTGGTGATATGTGTCCTCAACTAACAGAGTTGAACTTTGCCATTGATAGAGAGCAGTTTTGAAACACTCTTTTTGTGGAATCTGCAAGTGGATATTTGGATAGCTTGGAGGATTTCGTTGTAAGCGGGAATTCAAATAAAAGGTAGACAGCAGCATTCTCAGAAATTTCTTTCTGATGTCTGCATTCAACTCATAGAGTTGAAGATTCCCTTTCATAGAGCAGGTTTGAAACACCCTTTCTGGAGTATCTGGATGTGGACATTTGGAGCGCTTTGATGCCTACGGTGAAAAAGTAAATATCTTCCCATAAAAACGAGACAGAAGGATTCTCAGAAACAAGTTTGTGATGTGTGTACTCAGCTAACAGAGTGGAACCTTTCTTTTTACAGAGCAGCTTTGAAACTCTATTTTTGTGGATTCTGCAAATGGATATTTAGATTGCTTTAACGATATCGTTGGAAAAGGGAATATCGTCATACAAAATCTAGACAGAAGCATTCTCACAAACTTCTTTGTGATGTGTGTCCTCAACTAACAGAGTTGAACCTTTCTTTTGATGCAGCAGTTTGGAAACACTCTTTTTGTAGAAACTGTAAGTGGATATTTGGATAGCTCTAACGATTTCGTTGGAAACGGGAATATCATCATCTAAAATCTAGACATAAGCACTATTAGAAACTACTTGGTGATATCTGCATTCAAGTCACAGAGTTGAACATTCCCTTACTTCGACCACGTTTGAAACACTCTTTTGGAAGAATCTGGAAGTGGACATTTGGAGCGCTTTGATGCCTTTGGTGAAAAGGAAACGTCTTCCAATAAAAGCCAGAGAGAAGCATTCTCAGAAACTTGGTCGTGATGTGTGTACTCAACTAAAAGAGTTGAACCTTTCTATTGATAGAGCAGTTTTGAAACACTCTTTTTGTGGATTCTGCAAGTGGATATTTGGATTGCTTTGAGGATTTCGTTGCAAGCGGGAATTCGTATAAACACTAGACAGCAGCATTCCCAGAAATTTCTTTCGGATATTTCCATTCGACTCATAGAGATGAACATGGCCTTTCATAGAGCAGGTTTGAAACACTCTTTTTGTAGTTTGTGGAAGTGGACATTTCGATTGCCTTGACGCCTACGGTGAAAAAGGAAATATCTTCCCATAAAAAATAGACAGAAGCATTCTCAGAAACTTGTTGGTGATATGTGTCCTCAACTAACAGAGTTGAACTTTGCCATTGATAGAGAGCAGTTTTGAAACACTCTTTTTGTGGAATCTGCAAGTGGATATTTGGATAGCTTGGAGGATTTCGTTGGAAGCGGGAATTCAAATAAAAGGTAGACAGCAGCATTCTCAGAAATTTCTTTCTGATGTCTGCATTCAACTCATAGAGTTGAAGATTCCCTTTCATAGAGCAGGTTTGAAACACTCGTTCTGGAGTATCTGGATGTGGACATTTGGAGCGCTTTGATGCCTACGGTGAAAAAGTAAATATCTTCCCATAAAAACGAGACAGAAGGATTCTGAGAAACAAGTTTGTGATGTGTGTACTCAGCTAACAGAGTGGAACCTCTCTTTTGATGCAGCAGTTTGGAAACACTCTTTTTGTAGAAACTGTAAGTGGATATTTGGATAGCTCTAATGATTTCGTTGGAAACGGGAATATCATCATCTAAAATCTAGACAGAAGGACTCTCAAGAAACTACTTTTTGATATCTGCATTCAAGTCACAGAGTTGAACATTCGCTTTCTTAGAGCACTTTTGAAACACTCTATTTGTCGTATCTGGAAGTGGACATTTGGAGCTCTTTGATGCCTTTGGTGAAAAAGGAAATGTCTTCCCATAAAAACTAGACAGAAGCATTCTCAGAAACTTGTTTGTGATGTGTGCACCCAGCTAAAGGAGTTGAACATTTATTGATAGAGCAGTTTTGAAGCACTCTTTTTGTGGAAAATGCAAGTGGATATTTGGATAGCTTGGAGGATTTCGTTGGAAGCGGGAGTTCAAATAAAAGGTAGACAGCAGCATTCTCAGAAATTTCTTTCTGATGTCTGCATTCAACTCATAGAGTTGAAGATTCCCTTTCATAGAGTAGGTTTGAAACACTCGTTCCGGAGTATCTGGATGTGGACATTTGGAGCGCTTTGATGCCTACGGTGGAAAAGTAAATATCTTCCCATAAAAACGAGACAGAAGGATTCTGAGTAAACAAGTTTGTGATGTGTGTACTCAGCTAACAGAGTGGAACCTTTCTTTTTACAGAGCAGCTTTGAAACTCTATTTTTGTGGATTCTGCAAATGGATATTTAGATTGCTTTAATGATATCGCTGGAAAAGGGAATATGGTCATACAAAATCTAGACAGAAGCATTCTCACAAACTTCTTTGTGATGTGTGTCCTCAACTAACAGAGTTGAACCTTTCTTTTGATGCAGCAGTTTGGAAACACTCTTTTTGTAGAAACTGTAACTGGATATTTGGATAGCTCTAACGATTTCGTTGGAAACGGGAATATCATCATCTAAAATCTAGACAGAAGCACTATTAGAAACTACTTGGTGATATCTGCATTCAAGTCACAGAGTTGAACATTCCCTTACTTTGAGCACGTTTGAAACACTCTTTTGGAAGAATCTGGAAGTGGACATTTGGAGCGCTTTGATGCCTTTGGTGAAAAGGAAACGTCTTCCAATAAAAGCCAGACAGAAGCATTCTCAGAAACTTGTTTGTGATGTGTGTACTCAACTAAAAGAGTTGAACCTTTCCATTGATAGAGCAGTTTTGAAACACTCTTTTTGTGGATTCTGCAAGTGGATATTTGGATTGCTTTGAGGATTTCGTTGGAAGCGGGAATTCGTATAAAAACTAGACAGCAGCATTCCCAGAAATTTCTTTCAGATATTTCCATTCAACTCATAGAGATGAACATGGCCTTTCATAGAGCAGGTTTGAAACACTCTTTTTGTAGTTTGTGGAAGTGGACATTTCGATCGCCTTGACGCCTACGGTGAAAAAGGAAATATCTTCCCATAAAAAATAGACAGAAGCATTCTCAGAAACTTGTTGGTGATATGTGTCCTCAACTAACAGAGTTGAACTTTGCCATTGATAGAGAGCAGTTTTGAAACACTCTTTTTGTGGAATCTGCAAGTGGATATTTGGATAGCTTGGAGGATTTCGTTGGAAGCGGGAATTCAAATAAAAGGTAGACAGCAGCATTCTCAGAAATTTCTTTCTGATCTCTGCATTCAACTCATAGAGTTGAACATTCCCTTTCATAGGGCAGGTTTGAAATACTCTTTCTGTAGTATCTGGATGAGGACATTTGGAGCGCTTTGATGCCTACGGTGAAAAAGTAAATATCTTCCCATAAAAACGAGACAGAAGGATTCTGAGAAACAAGTTTGTGATGTGTGTACTCAGCTAACAGAGTGGAACCTCTCTTTTGATGCAGCAGTTTGGAAACACTCTTTTTGCAGAAACTGTAAGTGGATATTTGGATAGCTCTAATGATTTCGTTGGAAACGGGAATATCATCATCTAAAATCTAGGCAGAAAGCCCTCTCAGAAACTACTTTGTGATATCTGCATTCAAGTCACAGAGTTGAACATTCGCTTTCTTAGAGCACGTTTGAAACACTCTTTTTGTAGTGTCTGGAAGTGGACATTTGGAGCGCTTTGATGCCTTTGGTGAAAAAGGGAACGTCTTCCCATAAAAACTAGACAGAAGCATTCTCAGAAACTTGTTTGTGATGTGTGTACCCAGCTAAAGGAGTTGAACATTTCTATTGATAGAGCAGTTTTGAAACACTCTTTTTGTGGAAAATGCAAGTGGATATTTGGATAGCTTGGAGGATTTCGTTGGAAGCGGGAATTCAAATAAAAGGTAGACAGCAGCATTCTCAGAAATTTCTTTCTGATGTCTGCATTCAACTCATAGAGTTGAAGATTCCCTTTCATAGAGCAGGTTTGAAACACTCGTTCTGGAGTGTCTGGATGTGGACATTTGGAGCGCTTTGATGCCTATGGTGGAAAAGTAAATATCTTCCCATAAAAACGAGACAGAAGGATTCTCAGAAACAAGTTTGTGATGTGTGTACTCAGCTACCAGAGTGGAACCTTTCTTTTTACAGAGCAGCTTTGAAACTCTATTTTTGTGGATTCTGCAAATTGATATTTAGATTGCTTTAACGATATCGTTGGAAAAGGGAATATCGTCATACAAAATCTAGACAGAAGCATTCTCACAAACTTCTTTGTGACGTGTGTCCTCAACTAACAGAGTTGAACCTTTCTTTTGATGCAGCAGTTTGGAAACACTGTTTTTGTAGCAACTGTAAGTGGATATTTGGATAGCTCTAACGATTTCGTTGGAAACGGGAATATCATCATCTAAAATCTAGACAGAAGCACTATTAGAAACTACTTGGTGATATCTGCATTCAAGTCACAGAGTTGAACATTCCCTTACTTTGAGCACGTTTGAAACACTCTTTTGGAAGAATCTGGAAGTGGACATTTGGAGCGCTTTGATGCCTTTGGTGAAAAGGAAACGTCTTCCAATAAAAGCCAGACAGAAGCATTCTCAGAAACTTGTTCGTGATGTGTGTACTCAACTAAAAGAGTTGAACCTTTCTATTGATAGAGCAGTTTAGAAACACTCTTTTTGTGGATTCTGCAAGTGGATATTTGGATTGCTTTGAGGATTTCGTTGGAAGCGGGAATTCGTATAAACACTAGACAGCAGCATTCCCAGAAATTTCTTTCGGATATTTCCATTCGACTCATAGAGATGAACATGGCCTTTCATAGAGCAGGTTTGAAACACTCTTTTTGTAGTTTGTGGAAGTGGACATTTCGATCGCCTTGACGCCTACGGTGAAAAAGGAAATATCTTCCCATAAAAAATAGACAGAAGCATTCTCAGAAACTTGTTGGTGATATGTGTCCTCAACTAACAGAGTTGAACTTTGCCATTGATAGAGAGCAGTTTTGAAACACTCTTTTTGTGGAATCTGCAAGTGGATATTTGGATAGCTTGGAGGATTTCGTTGGAATCGGGAATTCAAATAAAAGGTAGACAGCAGCATTCTCAGAAATTTCTTTGTGATGTTTGCATTCAACTCATAGAGTTGAACATTCCCTTTAATAGAGTAGGTTTGAAACACTCTTTCTGTACTATCTGGATGTGGACATTTGGAGCGCTTTGACGCCTACGGTGAAAAAGGAAATGTCTTCCCATAAAAAATTGAAGAAGGATTCTCAGAAACAGGTTTGTGATGTGTGTACTCAGCTAACAGAGTGGAACCTCTCTTTTGATGCAGCAGTTTGGAAACACTCTTTTTGTAGAAACTGTAAGTGGATATTTGGATAGCTCTAATGATTTCGTTGGAAACGGGAATATCATCATCTAAAATCTAGACAGAAGCACTCTCAGAAACTACTTTGTGATATCTGCATTCAAGTCACAGAGTTGAACATTCGCTTTCTTAGAGCACTTTTGAAACACCCTTTTTGTCGTATCTGGAAGTGGACATTTGGAGCTCTTTGATGCCTTTGGTGAAAAAGGAGATGTCTTCCCATAAAAACTAGACAGAAGCATTCTCAGAAACTTGTTTGTGATGTGTGTACCCAGCCAAAGGAGTTGAACATTTCTATTGATAGAGCAGTTTTGAAACACTCTTTTTGTGGAAAATGCAGGTGGATATTTGGATAGCTTGGAGGATTTCGTTGGAAGCGGGAATTCAAATAAAAGTTAGACAGCAGCATTCTCAGAAATTTCTTTCTGATGTCTGCATTCAACTCATAGAGTTGAACATTCCCTTTCATAGGACAGGTTTGAAATACTCTTTCTGTAGTATCTGGATGTGGACATTTGGAGCGCTTTGATGCCTACAGTGAAAAAGTAAATATCTTCCCATAAAAACGAGACAGAAGGATTCTCAGAAACAAGTTTGTGATGTGTGTACTCAGCTAACAGAGTGGAACCTTTCTTTTTACAGAGCAGCTTTGAAACTCTATTTTTGTGGATTCTGCAAATTGATATTTAGATTGCTTTAACGATATCGTTGGAAAAGGGAATATCGTCATACAAAATCTGGACAGAAGCATTCTCACAAACAGCTTTGTGAAGTGTGTCCTCAACTAACAGAGTTGAACCTTTCTTTTGATGCAGCAGTTTGGAAACACCCTTTTGGTAGAAACTGTAAGTGGATATTTGGATAGCTCTAACGATTTCGTTGGAAACGGGAATACCATCATCTAAAATCTAGACAGAAGCACTATTAGAAACTACTTGGTGATATCTGCATTCAAGTCACAGAGTTGAACATTCCCTTACTTCGAGCACGTTTGAAACACTCTTTTGGAAGAATCTGGAAGTGGACATTTGGAGCGCTTTGATGCCTTTGGTGAAAAGGAAACGTCTTCCAATAAAAGCCAGACAGAAGCATTCTCAGAAACTTGTTTGAGATGTGTGTACTCAACTAAAAGAGTTGAACCTTTCTATTGATAGAGCAGTTTTGAAACACTCTTTTTGTGGATTCTGCAAGTGGATATTTGGATTGCTTTGAGGATTTCGTTGGAAGCGGGAATTCGTATAACAACTAGACAGCAGCATTCCCAGAAATTTCTTTCGGATATTTCCATTCAA
This sequence comes from Homo sapiens, assembly GCF_000001405.40. Taxonomy (NCBI): domain Eukaryota; kingdom Metazoa; phylum Chordata; class Mammalia; order Primates; family Hominidae; genus Homo; species Homo sapiens. The sequence goes on from NC_000014.9 coordinate 17,937,123, forward strand.
CTCATAGAGATGAACATGGCCTTTCATAGAGCAGGTTTGAAACACTCTTTTTGTAGTTTGTGGAAGTGGACATTTCGATCGCCTTGACGCCTACGGTGAAAAAGGAAATATCTTCCCCATAAAAAATAGACAGAAGCATTCTCAGAAACTTGTTGGTGATATGTGTCCTCAACTAACAGAGTTGAACTTTGCCATTGATAGAGAGCAGTTTTGAAACACTCTTTTTGTGGAGTTTGCAAGTGGATATTTGGATAGCTTGGAGGATTTCGTTGGAAGCGGGAATTCAAATTAAAGGTAGACAGCAGCATTCTCAGAAATTTCTTTCTGATGTCTGCATTCAACTCATAGAGTTGAACATTCCCTTTCATAGAGCAGGTTTGAAACACTCTTTCTGGAGTATCTGGATGTGGACATTTGGAGCGCTTTGATGCCTACGGTGAAAAAGTAAATATCTTCCCATAAAAACGAGACAGAAGGATTCTGAGAAACAAGTTTGTGATGTGTGTACTCAGCTAACAGAGTGGAACCTCTCTTTTGATGCAGCAGTTTGGAAAAACTCTTTTTGTAGAAACTGTAAGTGGATATTTGGATAGCTCTAATGATTTCGTTGGAAACGGGAATATCATCATCTAAATCTAGACAGAAGCACTCTCAGAAACTACTTTGTGATATCTGCATTCAAGTCACAGAGTTGAACATTCGCTTTCTTAGAGCACGTTTGAAACACTCTTTTTGTAGTGTCTGGAAGTGGACATTTGGAGCGCTTTGATTCCTTTGGTGAAAAAGGGAATGTCTACCCATAAAAACTAGACAGAAGCATTCTCAGAAACTTGTTTGTGATGTGTGTACCCAGCCAAAGGAGTTGAACATTTCTATTGATAGAGCAGTTTTGAAACACTCTTGTTGTGGAAAATGCAGGTGGATATTTGGATAGCTTGGAGGATTTCGTTGGAAGCGGGAAATCAAATAAAAGGTAGACAGCAGCATTCTCAGAAATTTCTTTCTGATGTCTGCATTCAACTCATAGAGTTGAAGATTCCCTTTCATAGAGCAGGTTTGAAACACTCGTTCTGGAGTATCTGGATGTGGACATTTGGAGCGCTTTGATGCCTACGGTGGAAAAGTAAATATCTTCCCATAAAAACGAGACAGAAAGGATTCTCAGAAACAAGTTTGTGATGTGTGTACTCAGCTAACAGAGTGGAACCTTTCTTTTTACACAGCAGCTTTGAAACTCTATTTTTGTGGATTCTGCAAATTGATATTTAGATTGTTTTAACGATATCGTTGGAAAAGGGAATACCGTCATACAAAATCTAGACAGAAGCATTCTCACAAACTTCTTTGTGATGTGTGTCCTCAACTAACAGAGTTGAACTTTTCTTTTGATGCAGCAGTTTGGAAACACTCTTTTTGTAGAAACTGTAAGTGGATATTTGGATAGCTCTAACGATTTCGTTGGAAACGGGAATATCATCATCTAAAATCTAGACAGAAGCACTATTAGAAACTACTTTGTGATATCTGCATTCAAGTCACAGAGTTGAACATTCGCTTTCTTAGAGCACGTTTGAAACACTCTTTTGGAAGAATCTGGAAGTGGACATTTGGAGCGCTTTGATGCCTTTGGTGAAAAGGAAACGTCTTCCAATAAAAGCCAGACAGAAGCATTCTCAGAAACTTGTTCGTGATGTGTGTACTCAACTAAAAGAGTTGAACCTTTCTATTGATGGAGCAGTTTTGAAACACTCTTTTTGTGGATTCTGCAAGTGGATATGTGGATTGCTTTGAGGATTTCGTTGGAAGCGGGAATTCGTATAACAACTAGACAGCAGCATTCCCAGAAATTTCTTTCGGATATTTCCATTCAACTCATAGAGATGAACATGGCCTTTCATAGAGCAGGTTTGAAACACTCTTTTTGTAGTTTGTGGAAGTGGACATTTCGATCGCCTTGACGCCTAAGGTGAAAAAGGAAATATCTTCCCATAAAAAATAGACAGAAGCATTCTCAGAAACTTGTTGGTGATATGTGTCCTCAACTAACAGAGTTGAACTTTGCCATTGATAGAGAGCAGTTTTGAAACACTCTTTTTGTGGAATCTGCAAGTGGATATTTGGATAGCTTGGAGGATTTCGTTGGAAGCGGGAATTCAAATAAAAGGTAGACAGCAGCATTCTCAGAAATTTCTTTCTGATGTCTGCATTCAACTCATAGAGTTGAACATTCCCTTTCATAGAGCAGGTTTGAAACACTCTTTCTGGAGTTTCTGGATGTGGACATTTGGAGCGCTTTGATGCCTACGGTGAAAAAGTAAATATCTTCCCATAAAAACGAGACAGAAGGAATCTGAGAAACAAGTTTGTGATGTGTGTACTCAGCTAACAGAGTGGAACCTCTCTTTTGATGCAGCAGTTTGGCAACACTCTTTTTGTAGAAACTGTAAGTGGATATTTGGATAGCTCTAATGATTTCGTTGGAAACGGGAATATCATCATCTAAAATCTAGACAGAAGCCCTCTCAGAAACTACTTTGTGATATCTGCATTCAAGTCACAGAGTTGAACATTCGCTTTCTTAGAGCACGTTTGAAACACTCTTTTTGTAGTGTCTGGAAGTGGACATTTGGAGCGCTTTGATGCCTTTGGTGAAAAAGGGAACGTCTTCCCATAAAAACTAGACAGAAGCATTCTCAGAAAGTTGTTTGTGATGTGTGTACCCAGCTAAAGGAGTTGAACATTTCTATTGATAGAGTAGTTTTGAAACACTCTTTTTGTGGAAAATGCAAGTGGATATTTGGATAGCTTGGAGGATTTCGTTGGAAGCGGGAATTCAAATAAAAGGTAGACAGCAGCATTCTCAGAAATTTCTTTCTGATGTCTGCATTCAACTCATAGAGTTGAAGATTCCCTTTCATAGAGCAGGTTTGAAACACTCTTTCTGGAGTATCTGGATGTGTACATTTGGAGCGCTTTGATGCCTACGGTGAAAAAGTAAATATCTTCCCAGAAAAACGAGACAGACAAGGATTCTGAGAAACAAGTTTGTGATGTGTGTACTCAGCTAACAGAGTGGAACCTTTCTTTTTACAGAGCAGCTTTGAAACTCTATTTTTGTGGATTCTGCAAATGGATATTTAGATTGCTTTAATGATATCGTTGGAAAAGGGAATATCGTCATACAAAATCTAGACAGAAGCATTCTCACAAACTTCTTTGTGATGTGTGTCCTCAACTAACAGAGTTGAACCTTTCTTTTGATGCAGCAATTTGGAAACACCCTTTTGGTAGAAACTGTAACTGGATATTTGCTTAGCTCTAACGATTTCGTTGGAAACGGGAATATCATCATCTAAAATCTAGACAGAAGCACTATTAGAAACTACTTGGTGATATCTGCATTCAAGTCACATAGTAGAACATTCCCTTACTTCGAGCACGTTTGAAACACTCTTTTGGAAGAATCTGGAAGTGGACATTTGGAGCGCTTTGATGCCTTTGGTGAAAAGGAAACGTCTTCCAATAAAAGCCAGACAGAAGCATTCTCAGAAACTTGTTCGTGATGTGTGTACTCAACTAAAAGAGTTGAACCTTTCTATTGATAGAGCAGTTTTGAAACCCTCTTTTTGTGGATTCTGCAAGTGGATATTTGGATTGCTTTGAGGATTTCGTTGGAAGCGGGAATTCGTATAAACACTAGACAGCAGCATTCCCAGAAATTTCTTTCGGATATTTCCATTCAACTCATAGAGATGAACATGGCCTTTCATATTGAAACACTCTTTTTGTAGTTTGTGGAAGTGGACATTTCGATCGCCTTGACGCCTACGGTGAAAAAGGAAATATCTTCCCATAAAAAATAGACAGAAGCATTCTCAGAAACTTGTTGGTGATATGTGTCCTCAACTAACAGAGTTGAACTTTGCCATTGATAGAGAGCAGTTATGAAACACTCTTTTTGTGGAATCTGCAAGTGGATATTTGGATAGCTTGGAGGATTTCGTTGGAAGCGGGAATTCAAATAAAAGGTAGACAGCAGCATTCTCAGAAATTTCTTTCTGATGTCTGCATTCAACTCATAGAGTTGAACATTCCCTTTCATAGAGCAGGTTTGAAACACTCTTTCTGGAGTATCTGGATGTGGACATTTGGAGCGCTTTGATGCCTACGGTGAAAAAGTAAATATCTTCCCATAAAAACGAGACAGAAGGATTCTGAGAAACAAGTTTGTGATGTGTGTACTCAGCTAACAGAGTGGAACCTCTCTTTTCATGCAGCAGTTTGGAAACACTCTTTTTGTAGAAACTGTAAGTGGATATTTGGATAGCTCTAATGATTTCGTTGGAAACGGGAATATCATCATCTAAAATCTAGACAGAAGCCCTCTCAGCAAACTACTTTGTGATATCTGCATTCAAGTCACAGAGTTGAACATTCGCTTTCTTAGAGCACGTTGGAAACACTCTTTTTGTAGTGTCTGGAAGTGGACATTTGGAGCGCTTTGATGCCTTTGGTGAAAAAGGGAATGTCTTCCCATAAAAACTAGACAGAAGCATTCTCAGAAACTTGTTTGTGATGTGTGTACCCAGCTAAAGGAGTTGAACATTTCTATTGATAGAGCAGTTTTGAAACACTCTTTTTGTGGAAAATGCAAGTGGATATTTGCGTAGCTTGGAGGATTTCGTTGGAAGCGGGAGTTCAAATAAAAGGTAGACAGCAGCATTCTCAGAAATTTCTTTCTGATGTCTGCATTCAACTCATAGAGTTGAAGATTCCCTTTCATAGAGCAGGTTTGAAACACTCGTTCTGGAGTATCTGGATGTGGACATTTGGAGCGCTTTGATGCCTACGGTGGAAAAGTAAATATCTTCCCATAAAAACGAGACAGAAGGATTCTCAGAAACAAGTTTGTGATGTGTGTACTCAGCTAACAGAGTGGAACCTTTCTTTTTACAGAGCAGGTTTGAAACTCTATTTTTGTGGATTCTGCAAATTGATATTTAGATTGCTTTAACGATATCGTTGGAAAAGGGAATATCGTCATACAAAATCTAGACAGAAGCATTCTCACAAACTTCTTTGTGATGTGTGTCCTCAACTAACAGAGTTGAACCTTTCTTTTGATGCAGCAATTTGGAAACACCCTTTTGGTAGAAACTGTAACTGGATATTTGGATAGCTCTAACGATTTCGTTGGAAACGGGAATATCATCATCTAAAATGTAGACAGAAGCACTATTAGAAACTACTTGGTGATATCTGCATTCAAGACACAGAGTAGAACATTCCCTTACTTCGAGCACGTTTGAAACACTCTTTTGGAAGAATCTGGAAGTGGACATTTGGAGCGCTTTGATGCCTTTGGTGAAAAGGAAACGTCTTCCAATAAAAGCCAGACAGAAGCATTCTCAGAAACTTGTTTGTGATGTGTGTACTCAACTAAATGTGTTGAACCTTTCCATTGATAGAGCAGTTTTGAAACACTCTTTTTGTGGATTCTGCAAGTGGATATTTGGATTGCTTTGAGGATTTCGTTGGAAGCGGGAATTCGTATAAACACTAGACAGCAGCATTCCCAGCAAATTTCTTTCGGATATTTCCATTCAACTCATAGAGATGAACATGGCCTTTCATAGAGCAGGTTTGAAACACTCTTTTTGTAGTTTGTGGAAGTGGACATTTCGATCGCCTTGACGCCTACGGTGAAAAAGGAAATATCTTCCCATAAAAAATAGACAGAAGCATTCTCAGAAACTTGTTGGTGATATGTGTCCTCAACTAACAGAGTTGAACTTTGCCATTGATAGAGAGCAGTTTTGAAACACTCTTTTTGTGGAATCTGCAAGTGGATATTTGGATAGCTTGGAGGATTTCGTTGGAAGCGGGAATTCAAATAAAAGGTAGACAGCAGCATTCTCAGAAATTTCTTTCTGATGTCTGCATTCAACTCATAGAGTTGAAGATTCCCTTTCATAGAGCAGGTTTGAAACACTCTTTCTGGAGTATCTGGATGTGGACATTTGGAGCGCTTGGATGCCTTTGGTGAAAAAGGGAACGTCTTCCCATAAAAACTAGACAGAAGGATTCTGAGAAACAAGTTTGTGATGTGTGTACTCAGCTAACAGAGTGGAACCTCTCTTTTGATGCAGCAGTTTGGAAACACTCTTTTTGTAGAAACTGTAAGTGGATATTTGGATAGCTCTAATGATTTCGTTGGAAACGGGAATATCATCATCTAAAATCTAGACAGAAGCCCTCTCAGAAACTACTTTGTGATATCTGCATTCAAGTCACAGAGTTGAACATTCGCTTTCTAAGAGCACGTTTCAAACACTCTTTCTGTAGTGTCTGGAAGTGGACATTTGGAGCGCTTTGATGCCTTTGGTGAAAAAGGGAACGTCTTCCCATAAAAACTAGACAGAAGCATTCTCAGAAACTTGTTTGTGATGTGTGTACCCAGCCAAAGGAGTTGAACATTTCTATTGATAGAGCAGTTTTGAAACACTCTTTTTGTGGAAAATGCAGGTGGATATTTGGATAGCTTGGAGGATTTCGTTGGAAGCGGGAATTCAAATAAAAGGTAGACAGCAGCATTCTCAGAAATTTCTTTCTGATGTCTGCATTCAACTCATAGAGTTGAAGATTCCCTTTCCTAGAGCAGGTTTGAAACACTCTTTCTGGAGTATCTGGATGTGGACATTTGGAGCGCTTTGATGCCTACGGTGAAAAAGTAAATATCTTCCCATAAAAACGAGACAGAAGGATTCTGAGAAACAAGTTTGTGATGTGTGTACTCAGCTAACGGAGTGGAACCTTTCTTTTTACAGAGCAGGTTTGAAACTCTATTTTTGTGGATTCTGCAAATTGATATTTAGATTGCTTTAACGATATCATTGGAAAAGGGAATATCGTCATACAAAATCTAGACAGAAGCATTCTCACAAACTTCTTTGTGATGTGTGTCCTCAACTAACAGAGTTGAACCTTTCTTTTGATGCAGCAGTTTGGAAACACCCTTTTGGTAGAAACTGTAACTGGATATTTGGATAGCTCTAACGATTTCGTTGGAAACGGGAATATCATCATCTAAAATCTAGAGAGAAGCACTATTAGACACTGCTTGGTGATATCTGCATTCAAGTCACAGAGTTGAACATTCCCTTACTTTGAGCACGTTTGAAACACTCTTTTGGAAGAATCTGGAAGTGGACATTTGGAGCGCTTTGATGCCTTGGTGAAAAGGAAACGTCTTCCAATAAAAGCCAGACAGAAGCATTCTCAGAAACTTGTTTGTGATGTGTGTACTCAACTAAAAGAGTTGAACCTTTCTATTGATAGAGCAGTTTTGAAACACTCTTTTTGTGGATTCTGCAAGTGGATATTTGGATTGCTTTGAGGATTTCGTTGGAAGCGGGAATTCGTATAAAAACTAGACAGCAGCATTCCCAGAAATTTCTTTCGGATATTTCCATTCAACTCATAGAGATGAACATGGCCTTTCATAGAGCAGGTTTGAAACACTCTTTTTGTAGTTTGTGGAAGTGGACATTACGATCGCCTTGACGCCTACGGTGAAAAAGGAAATATCTTCCCATAAAAAATAGACAGAAGCATACTCAGAAACTTGTTGGTGATATGTGTCCTCAACTAACAGAGTTGAACTTTGCCATTGATAGAGAGCAGTTTTGAAACACTCTTTTTGTGGAATCTGCAAGTGGATATTTGGATAGCTTGGAGGATTTCGTTGGAAGCGGGAATTCAAATAAAAGGTAGACAGCAGCATTCTCAGAAATTTCTTTGTGATGTTTGCATTCAACTCATAGAGTTGAACATTCCCTTTCATAGAGCAGGTTTGAAACACTCTTTCTGTACTATCTAGATGTGGACATTTGGAACGCTTTGATGCCTACGGTGAAAAAGTAAATATCTTCCCATAAAAACTAGACAGAAGGATTCTCAGAAAGAAGTTTGTGATGTGTCTACTCAGCTAACAGAGTGGAACCTTTCTTTTTACAGAGCAGCTTTGAAACTCTATTTTTGTGGATTCTGCAAATTGATATTTAGATTGCTTTAACGATATCGTTGGAAAAGGGAATATCGTCATACAAAATCTAGACAGAAGCATTCTCACAAACTTCTTTGTGATGTGTGTCCTCAACTAACAGAGTTGAACCTTTATTTTGATGCAGCAGTTTGGAAACACTCTTTTTGTAGAAACTGTAAGTGGATATTTGGATAGCTCTAACGATTTCGTTGGAAACGGGAATATCATCATCTAAAATCTAGACAGAAGCATTCTCAGAAACTTGTTTGTGATGTGTGTACCCAGCTAATGGAGTTGAACATTTCTATTGATAGAGCAGTTTTGAAACACTCTTTTTGTGGAAAATGCAAGTTGATATTTGGATAGCTTGGAGGATTTCGTTGGAAGCGGGAATTCAAATAAAAGGTAGACAGCAAGGATTCTCAGAAACAAGTTTGTGATGTGTGTACTCAGCTAACAGAGTGGAACCTTTCTTTTTACAGAGCAGCTTTGAAACTCTATTTTTGTGGATTCTGCAAATTGATATTTAGATTGCTTTAACGATATCGTTGGAAAAGGGAATATCATCATACAAAATCTAGACAGAAGCATTCTCACAAACTTCTTTGTGATGTGTGTCCTCAACTAACAGAGTTGAACCTTTCTTTTGATGCAGCAATTTGGAAACACCCTTTTGGTAGAAACTGTAACTGGATATTTGGATAGCTCTAACGATTTCGTTGGAAACGGGAATATCATCATCTAAAATCTAGACAGAAGCACTATTAGAAACTACTTGGTGATATCTGCATTCAAGTCACAGAGTTGAACATTCCCTTACTTTGAGCACGTTTCAAACACTCTTTTGGAAGAATCTGGAAGTGGACATTTGGAGCGCTTTGATGCCTTTGGTGAAAAGGAAACGTCTTCCAATAAAAGCCAGACAGAAGCATTCTCAGAAACTTGTTTGTGATGTGTGTACTCAACTAAAAGAGTTGAACCTTTCTATTGATAGAGCAGTTTTGAAACACTCTTTTTGTGGATTCTGCAAGTGGATATTTGGATTGCTTTGAGGATTTCGTTGGAAGCGGGAATTCGTATAAAAACTAGACAGCAGCATTCTCAGAAACTTGTTTGTGATGTGTGTACTCAACTAAAAGAGTTGAACCTTTCTATGATAGAGCAGTTTTGAAACACTCTTTTTGTGGAATCTGCAAGTGGATATTTGGATTGCTTTGAGCATTTCGTTGGAAGCGGGATTTCATATAAAAACTAGACAGCAGCATTCTCAGAAACTTGTTGGTGATATGTGTCCTCAACTAACAGAGTTGAACTTTGCCATTGATAGAGAGCAGTTTTGAAACACTCTTTTTGTGGAATCTGCAAGTGGATATTTGGATAGCTTGGAGGATTTCGTTGGAAGCGGGAATTCAAATAAAAAGGTAGACAGCAGGATTCTCAGAAACAAGTTTGTGATGTGTGTACTCAGCTAACAGAGTGGAACCTCTCTTTTGAATGCAGCAGTTTGGAAACACTCTTTTTGTAGAAACTGTAAGTGGATATTTGGAAAGCTCTAATGATTTCATTGGAAACGGGAATATCATCATGTAAAATCTAGACAGAAAGCCCTCTCAGAAACTACTTTGTGATATCTGCATTCAAGTCACAGAGTTGAACATTCGCTTTCTTAGAGCACGTTGGAAACACTCTTTTTGTAGTGTCTGGAAGTGGACATTTGGAGCGCTTTGATGCCTTTGGTGAAAAAGGGAATGTCTTCCCATAAAAACTAGACAGAGCATTCTCAGAAACTTGTTTGTGATGTGTGTACCCAGCCAAAGGAGTTGAACATTTCTATTGATAGAGCAGTTTTGAAACACTCTTGTTGTGGATAATGCAGGTGGATATTTGGATAGCTTGGAGGATTTCGTTGGAAGCGGGAATTCAAATAAAAGGTAGACAGCAGCATTCTCAGAAATTTCTTTCTGATGTCTGCATTCAACTCATAGAGTTGAAGATTCCCTTTCATAGAGCAGGTTTGAAACACTCGTTCTGGAGTATCTGGATGTGGACATTTGGAGCGCTTTGATGCCTACGGTGGAAAAGTAAATATCTTCCCATAAAAACGAGACAGAAGGATTCTCAGAAACAAGTTTGTGATGTGTGTACTCAGCTAACAGAGTGGAACCTTTCTTTTTACAGAGCAGCTTTGAAACTCTATTTTTGTGGATTCTGCAAATTGATATTTAGATTGCTTTAACGATATCGTTGGAAAAGGGAATACCGTCATACAAAATCTAGACAGAAGCATTCTCACAAACTTCTTTGTGATGTGTGTCCTCAACTAACAGAGTTGAACCTTTCTTTTGATGCAGCAATTTGGAAGCACCCTTTTGGTAGAAACTGTAACTAGATATTTGGATAGCTCTAACGATTTCGTTGGAAACGGGAATATCATCATCTAAAATGTAGACAGAAGCACTATTAGAAACTACTTGGTGATATCTGCATTCAAGTCACAGAGTTGAACATTCCCTTACTTTGAGCACGTTTGAAACACTCTTTTGGAAGAATCTGGAAGTGGACATTTGGAGCGCTTTGATGCCTTTGGTGAAAAGGAAACGTCTTCCAATAAAAGCCAGACAGAGCATTCTCAGAAACTTGTTTGTGATGTGTGTACTCAACTAAAAGAGTTGAACCTTTCTATTGATAGAGCAGTTTTGAAACACTCTTTTTGTGGATTCTGCAAGTGGATATTTGGATTGCTTTGAGGATTTCGTTGGAAGCGGGAATTCGTATAAAAACTAGACAGCAGCATTCCCAGAAATTTCTTTCGGATATTTCCATTCAACTCATAGAGAAGAACATGGCCTTTCATAGAGCAGGTTTGAAACACTCTTTTTGTAGTTTGTGGAAGTGGACATTTCGATCGCCTTGACGCCTACGGTGAAAAAGGAAATATCTTCCCATAAAAAATAGACAGAAGCATTCTCAGAAACTTGTTGGTGATATGTGTCCTCAACTAACAGAGTTGAACTTTGCCATTGATAGAGAGCAGTTTTGAAACACTCTTTTTGTGGAATCTGCAAGTGGATATTTGGATAGCTTGGAGGATTTCGTTGGAAGCGGGAATTCAAATAAAAGGTAGACAGCAGCATTCTCAGAAATTTCTTTCTGATGTCTGCATTCAACTCATAGAGTTGAAGATTCCCTTTCATAGAGCAGGTTTGAAACACTCTTTCTGGAGTATCTGGATGTGGACATTTGGAGCGCTTTGAGGCCTACGGTGAAAAAGTAAATATCTTCCAATAAAAACGAGAGAGAAGGATTCTGAGAAACAAGTTTGTGATGTGTGTACTCAGCTAACAGAGTGGAACCTCTCTTTTGATGCAGCAGTTTGGAAACACTCTTTTTGTAGAAACTGTAAGTGGATATTTTGATAGCTCTAATGATTTCGTTGGAAACGGGAATATCATCATCTAAAATCTAGACAGAAGCACTCTCAGAAACTACTTTGTGATATCTGCATTGAAGTCACAGAGTTGAACATTCGCTTTCTTAGAGCACTTTTGAAACACTCTTTTTGTAGTATCTGGAAGTGGACATTTGGAGCTCTTTGATGCCTTTGGTGAAAAAGGAAATGTCTTCCCATAAAAACTAGACAGAAGCATTCTCAGAAACTTGTTTGTGATGTGTGCACCCAGCTAAAGGAGTTGAACATTTATTGATAGAGCAGTTTTGAAGCACTCTTTTTGTGGAAAATGCAAGTGGATATATGGATAGCTTGGAGGATTTCGTTGGAAGCGGGAATTCAAATAAAAGGTAGACAGCAGCATTCTCAGAAATTTCTTTCTGATGTCTGCATTCAACTCATAGAGTTGAAGATTCCCTTTCATAGAGCAGGTTTGAAACACTCTTTCTGGAGTATCTGGATGTGGACATTTGGAGCGCTTTGATGCTTACGGTGAAAAAGTAAATATGTTCCCATAAAAACGACACAGAAGGATTCTCAGAAACAAGTTTGTGATGTGTGTACTCAGCTAACAGAGTGGAACCTTTCTTTTTACAGAGCAGCTTGGAAACTCTATTTTTGTGGATTCTGCAAATTGATATTTAGATTGCTTTAACAATATCGTTGGAAAAGGGAATATCGTCATACAAAATCTAGACAGAAGCATTCTCACAAACATCTTTGTGATGTGTGTCCTCAACTAACAGAGTTGAACCTTTCTTTTGATGCAGCAGTTTGGAAACACCCTTTTGGTAGAAACTGTAACTGGATATTTGGATAGCTCTAACGATTTCGTTGGAAACGGGAATATCATCATCTAAAATCTAGACAGAAGCACTATTAGAAACTACTTGGTGATATCTGCATTCAAGTCACAGAGTTGAACATTCCCTTACTTTGAGCACGTTTCAAACACTCTTTTGGAAGAATCTGGAAGTGGACATTTGGAGCGCTTTGATGCCTTTGGTGAAAAGGAAACGTCTTCCAATAAAAGCCAGACAGAAGCATTCTCAGAAACTTGTTCGTGATGTGTGTACTCAACTAAAAGAGTTGAACCTTTCTATTGATAGAGCAGTTTTGAAACACTCTTTTTGTGGATTCTGCAAGTGGATATTTGGATTTCTTTGAAGATTTCGTTGGAAGCGGGAATTCGTATAAACACTAGACAGCAGCATTCCCAGAAATTTCTTTCGGATATTTCCATTCGACTCATAGAGATGAACATGGCCTTTCATAGAGCAGGTTTGAAACACTCTTTTTGTAGTTTGTGGAAGTGGACATTTCGATCGCCTTGACGCCTACGGTGAAAAAGGAAATATCTTCCCATAAAAAATAGACAGAAGCATTCTCAGAAACTTGTTGGTGATATGTGTCCTCAACTAACAGAGTTGAACTTTGCCATTGATAGAGAGCAGTTTTGAAACACTCTTTTTCCTGAATCTGCAAGTGGATATTTGGATAGTTTGGAGGATTTCGTTGGAAGCGGGAATTCAAATAAAAGGTAGACAGCAGCATTCTCAGAAATTTCTTTCTGATCTCTGCATTCAACTCATAGAGTTGAACATTCCGTTTCATAGGGCAGGTTTGAAATACTCTTTCTGTAGTATCTGGATGTGGACATTTGGAGCGCTTTGATGCCTACGGTGAAAAAGTAAATATCTTCCCATAAAAACGAGACAGAAGGATTCTGAGAAACAAGTTTGTGATGTGTGTACTCAGCTAACAGAGTGGAACCTCTCTTTTGATGCAGCAGTTTGGAAACACTCTTTTTGTAGAAACTGTAAGTGGATATTTGGATAGCTCTAATGATTTCGTTGGAAACGGGAATATCATCATCTAAAATCTAGACAGAAGCCCTCTCAGAAACTACTTTGTGATATCTGCATTCAAGTCACAGAGTTGAACATTCGCTTTCTTAGAGCACGTTGGAAACACTCTTTTTGTAGTGTCTGGAAGTGGACATTTGGAGCGCTTTGATGCCTTTGGTGAAAAAGGGAACGTCTTCCCATAAAAACTGGACAGAAGCATTCTCAGAAACTTGTTTGTGATGTGTGTACCCAGCTAAAGGAGTTGAACATTTCCATTGATAGAGCAGTTTTGAAACACTCTTTTTGTGGAAAATGCAAGTGGATATTTGGATAGCTTGGAGGATTTCGTTGGAAGCGGGAATTCAAATAAAAGGTAGACAGCAGCATTCTCAGAAATTTCTTTCTGATGTCTGCATTTAACTCATAGAGTTGAAGATTCCCTTTCATAGAGCAGGTTTGAAACACTCTTTCTGGAGTATCTGGATGTGGACATTTGGAGCGCTTTGATGCCTACGGTGAAAAAGTAAATATCTTCCCATAAAAACGAGACAGAAGGATTCTCAGAAAGAAGTTTGTGATGTGTGTACTCAGCTAACAGAGTGGAACCTTTCCTTTTACAGAGCAGCTTTGAAACTCTATTTTTGTGGATTCTGCAAATTGATATTTAGATTGCTTTAACGATATCGTTGGAAAAGGGAATATCGTCATACAAAATCTAGACAGAAGCATTCTCACAAACTTCTTTGTGATGTGTGTCCTCAACTAACAGAGTTGAACCTTTCTTTTGATGCAGCAATTTGGAAACACCCTTTTGGTAGAAACTGTAACTGGATATTTGGATAGCTCTAACGATTTCATTGGAAACGGGAATATCATCATCTAAAATCTAGACAGAAGCACTATTAGAAACTACTTGGTGATATCTGCATTCAAGTCACAGAGTTGAACATTCCCTTACTTTGAGCACGTTTCAAACACTCTTTTGGAAGAATCTGGAAGTGGACATTTGGAGCGCTTTGATGCCTTTGGTGAAAAGGAAACGTCTTCCAATAAAAGCCAGACAGAAGCATTCTCAGAAACTTGTTTGTGATGTGTGTACTCAACTAAAAGAGTTGAACCTTTCTATTGATAGAGCAGTTTTGAAACACTCTTTTTGTGGATTCTGCAAGTGGATATTTGGATTGCTTTGAGGATTTCGTTGGAAGCGGGAATTCGTATAAAAACTAGACAGCAGCATTCCCAGAAATTTCTTTCGGATATTTCCATTCGACTCATAGAGATGAACATGGCCTTTCATAGAGCAGGTTTGAAACACTCTTTTTGTAGTTTGTGGAAGTGGACATTTCGATCGCCTTGACGCCTACGGTGAAAAAGGAAATATCTTCCCATAAATAATAGACAGAAGCATTCTCAGAAACTTGTTGGTGATATGTGTCCTCAACTAACAGAGTTGAACTTTGCCATTGATAGAGAGCAGTTTTGAAACACTCTTTTTCCTGAATCTGCAAGTGGATATTTGGATAGCTTGGAGGATTTCGTTGGAAGCGGGAATTCAAATAAAAGTAGACAGCAGCATTCTCAGAAATTTCTTTCTGATCTCTGCATTCAACTCATAGAGTTGAACATTCCCTTTCATAGGGCAGGTTTGAAATACTCTTTCTGTAGTATCTGGATGTGGACATTTGGAGCGCTTTGATGCCTACGGTGAAAAAGTAAATATCTTCCCATAAAAACGAGACAGAAGGATTCTGAGAAACAAGTTTGTGATGTGTGTACTCAGCTAACAGAGTGGAACCTCTCTTTTGATGCAGTAGTTTGGAAACACTCTTTTTGTAGAAACTGTAAGTGGATATTTGGATAGCTCTAATGATTTCGTTGGAAACGGGAATATCATCATCTAAAATGCTAGACAGAAGCACTCTCAGAAACTACTGTGTGATATCTGCATTCAAGTCACAGCAGTTGAACATTCGCTTTCTTAGAGCACGTTTGAAACACTCTTTTTGTAGTGTCTGGAAGTGGACATTTGGAGCGCTTTGATGTCTTTGGTGAAAAAGGGAATGTCTTCCCATAAAAACTAGACAGAAGCATTCTCAGAAACTTATTTGTGATGTGTGTACCCAGCTAAAGGAGTTGAACATTTCTATTGATAGAGCAGTTTTGAAACACTCTTTTTGTGGAAAATGCAAGTGGATATTTGGATAGCTTGGAGGATTTCGTTGGAAGCGGGAATTCAAATAAAAGGTAGACAGCAGCATTCTCAGAAATTTCTTTCTGATGTCTGCATTCAACTCATAGAGTTGAAGATTCCCTTTCATAGAGCAGGTTTGAAACACTCTTTCTGGAGTATCTGGATGTGGACATTTGGAGCGCTTTGATGCCTACGGTGAAAAAGTAAATATCTTCCCATAAAAACGAGACAGAAAGGATTCTCAGAAACAAGTTTGTGATGTGTGTACTCAGCTAACAGAGTGGAACCTTTCTTTTTACAGAGCAGCTTTGAAACTCTATTTTTGTGGATTCTGCAAATGGATATTTAGATTGCTTTAATGATATCGCTGGAAAAGGGAATATGGTCATACAAAATCTAGACAGAAGCATTCTCACAAACTTCTTTGTGACGTGTGTCCTCAACTAACAGAGTTGAACCTTTCTTTTGATGCAGCAGTTTGGAAACACTGTTTTTGTAGCAACTGTAAGTGGATATTTGGATAGCTCTAACGATTTCGTTGGAAACGGGAATATCATCATCTAAAATCTAGACAGAAGCACTATTAGAAACTACTTGGTGATATCTGCATTCAAGTCACAGAGTTGAACATTCCCTTACTTTGAGCACGTTTCAAACACTCTTTTGGAAGAATCTGGAAGTGGACATTTGGAGCGCTTTGATGCCTTTGGTGAAAAGGAAACGTCTTCCAATAAAAGCCAGACAGAAGCATTCTCAGAAACTTGTTCGTGATGTGTGTACTCAACTAAAAGAGTTGACCCTTTCTATTGATGGAGCAGTTTTGAAACACTCTTTTTGTGGATTCTGCAAGTGGATATGTGGATTGCTTTGAGGATTTCGTTGGAAGCGGGAATTCGTATAACAACTAGACAGCAGCATTCCCAGAAATTTCTTTCGGATATTTCCATTCAACTCATAGAGATGAACATGGCCTTTCATAGAGCAGGTTTGAAACACTCTTTTTGTAGTTTGTGGAAGTGGACATTTCGATCGCCTTGACGCCTACGGTGAAAAAGGAAATATCTTCCCATAAAAAATAGACAGAAGCATTCTCAGAAACTTGTTGGTGATATGTGTCCTCAACTAACAGAGTTGAACTTTGCCATTGATAAAGAGCAGTTTTGAAACACTCTTTTTGTGGAATCTGCAAGTGGATATTTGGATAGCTTGGAGGATTTCGTTGGAAGCGGGAATTCAAATAAAAGGTAGACAGCAGCATTCTCACAAATTTCTTTCTGATCTCTGCATTCAACTCATAGAGTTGAACATTCCCTTTCATAGGGCAGGTTTGAAATACTCTTTCTGTAGTATCTGGATGTGGACATTTGGAGCGCTTTGATGCCTACGGTGAAAAAGTAAATATCTTCCCATAAAAACGAGACAGAAGGATTCTCAGAAACAAGTTTGTGATGTGTGTACTCAGCTAACAGAGTGGAACCTCTCTTTTGATGCAGCAGTTTGGAAACACTCTTTTTGTAGAAACCGTAAGTGGATATTTGGATAGCTCTAATGATTTCGTTGGAAACGGGAATATCATCATCTAAAATCTAGACAGAAGCCCTCTCAGAAACTACTTTGTGATATCTGCATTCAAGTCACAGAGTTGAACATTCGCTTTCTTAGAGCACGTTTGAAACACTCTTTTTGTAGTGTCTGGAAGTGGACATTTGGAGCGCTTTGATGCCTTTGGTGAAAAAGGGAATGTCTTCCCATAAAAAATAGACAGAAGCATTCTCAGAAACTTGTTTGTGATGTGTGTACCCAGCTAAAGGAGTTGAACATTTCTATTGATAGAGCAGTTTTGAAACACTCTTGTTGTGGAAAATGCAGGTGGATATTTGGATAGCTTGGAGGATTTCGTTGGAAGCGGGAATTCAAATAAAAGGTAGACAGCAGCATTCTCAGAAATTTCTTTCTGATGTCTGCATTCAACTCATAAGAGTTGAAGATTCCCTTTCATAGAGCAGGTTTGAAACACTCTTTCTGGAGTATCTGGATGTGGACATTTGGAGGGCTTTGATGCCTACGGTGAAAAAGTAAATATCTTCCCATAAAAACGAGACAGAAGGATTCTGAGAAACAAGTTTGTGATGTGTGTACTCAGCTAACAGAGTGGAACCTTTCTTTTTACAGAGCAGCTTTGAAACTCTATTTTTGTGGATTCTGCAAATGGATATTTAGATTGCTTTAATGATATCGTTGGAAAAGGGAATATCGTCATACAAAATCTAGACAGAAGCATTCTCACAAACTTCTTTGTGATGTGTGTCCTCAACTAACAGAGTTGAACCTTTCTTTTGATGCAGCAATTTGGAAACACCCTTTTGGTAGAAACTGTAACTGGATATTTGGATAGCTCTAACGATTTCGTTGGAAACGGGAATATCATCATCTAAAATCTAGACAGAAGCACTATTAGAAACTACTTGGTGATATCTGCATTCAAGTCACAGAGTAGAACATTCCCTTACTTCGAGCACGTTTGAAACACTCTTTTGGAAGAATCTGGAAGTGGACATTTGGAGCGCTTTGATGCCTTTGGTGAAAAGGAAACGTCTTCCAATAAAAGCCAGACAGAAGCATTCTCAGAAACTTGTTCATGATGTGTGTACTCAACTAAAAGAGTTGAACCTTTCTATTGATAGAGCAGTTTTGAAACACTCTTTTTGTGGATTCTGCAAGTGGATATTTGGATTGCTTTGAGGATTTCGTTGGAAGCGGGAATTCGTATAAACACTAGACAGCAGCATTCCCAGAAATTTCTTTCGGATATTTCCATTCAACTCAAAGAGATGAACATGGCCTTTCATAGAGCAGGTTTGAAACACTCTTTTTGTAGTTTGTGGAAGTGGACATTTCGATCGCCTTGACGCCTACGGTGAAAAAGGAAATATCTTCCCATAAAAAATAGACAGAAGCATTCTCAGAAACTTGTTGGTGATATGTGTCCTCAACTAACAGCAGTTGAACTTTGCCATTGATAGAGAGCAGTTTTGAAACACTCTTTTTGTGGAATCTGCAAGTGGATATTTGGATAGCTTGGAGGATTTCGTTGGAAGCGGGAATTCAAATAAAAGGTAGACAGCAGCATTCTCAGAAATTTCTTTCTGATGTTTGCATTCAACTCATAGAGTTGAACATTCCCTTTCATAGAGCAGGTTTGAAACACTCTTTCTGTACTATCTGGATGTGGACATTTGGAGCGCTTTGATGCCTACGGTGAAAAAGGAAATGTCTTCCCATAAAAAATTGAAGAAGGATTCTCAGAAACAAGTTTGTGATGTGTGTACTCAGCTAACAGAGTGGAACCTCTCTTTTGATGCAGCAGTTTGGAAACACTCTTTTTGTAGAAACTGTAAGTGGATATTTGGATAGCTCTAATGATTTCGTTGGAAACGGGAATATAATCATCTAAAATCTAGACAGAAGCCCTCTCAGAAACTACTTTGTGATATGTGCATTCAAGTCACAGAGTTGAACATTCGCTTTCTTAGAGCACGTTTGAAACACTCTTTTTGTAGTGTCTGGAAGTGGACATTTGGAGCGCTTTGATGCCTTTGGTGAAAAAGGGGAACGTCTACCCATAAAAACTAGACAGAAGCATTCTCAGAAACTTGTTTGTGATGTGTGTACCCAGCTAAAGGAGTTGAACATTTCTATTGATAGAGCAGTTTTGAAACACTCTTTTTGTGGAAAATGCAAGTGGATATTTGCATAGCTTGGAGGATTTCGTTGGAAGCGGGAGTTCAAATAAAAGGTAGACAGCAGCATTCTCAGAAATTTCTTTCTGATGTCTGCATTCAACTCATAGAGTTGAAGATTCCCTTTCATAGAGCAGGTTTGAAACACTCTTTCTGGAGTATCTGGATGTGGACATTTGGAGCGCTTTGATGCCTACGGTGAAAAAGTAAATATCTTCCCATAAAAACGAGACAGAAGGATTCTCAGAAACAAGTTTGTGATGTGTGTACTCAGCTAACAGAGTGGAACCTTTCTTTTTACAGAGCAGCTTTGAAACTCTATTTTTGTGGATTCTGCAAATTGATATTTAGATTGCTTTAACGATATCGTTGGAAAAGGGAATATGGTCATACAAAATACTAGACAGAAAGCATTCTCACAAACTTCTTTGTGACGTGTGTCCTCAACTAACAGAGTTGAACCTTTCTTTTGATGCAGCAGTTTGGAAACACTGTTTTTGTAGCAACTGTAAGTGGATATTTGGATAGCTCTAACGATTTCGTTGGAAACGGGAATATCATCATCTAAAATCTAGACAGAGCACTATTAGAAACTACTTGGTGATATCTGCATTCAAGTCACAGAGTTGAACATTCCCTTACTTTGAGCACGTTTCAAACACTCTTTTGGAAGAATCTGGAAGTGGACATTTGGAGCGCTTTGATGCCTTTGGTGAAAAGGAAACGTCTTCCAATAAAAGCCAGACAGAAGCATTCTCAGAAACTTGTTTGTGATGTGTGCACTCAACTAAAAGAGTTGAACCTTTCTATTGATAGAGCAGTTTTGAAACACTCTTTTTGTGGATTCTGCAAGTGGATATTTGGATTGCTTTGAGGATTTCGTTGGAAGCGGGAATTCGTATAAAAACTAGACAGCAGCATTCCCAGAAATTTCTTTCGGATATTTCCATTCGACTCATAGAGATGAACATGGCCTTTCATAGAGCAGGTTTGAAACACTCTTTTTGTAGTTTGTGGAAGTGGACATTTCGATCGCCTTGACGCCTACGGTGAAAAAGGAAATATCTTCCCATAAAAAATAGACAGAAGCATTCTCAGAAACTTGTTGGTGATATGTGTCCTCAACTAACAGAGTTGAACTTTGCCATTGATAGAGAGCAGTTTTGAAACACTCTTTTTGTGGAATCTGCAAGTGGATATTTGCATAGCTTAGAGGATTTCGTTGGAAGCGGGAATTCAAATAAAAGGTAGACAGCAGCATTCTCAGAAATTTCTTTCTGATGTCTGCATTCAACTCATAGAGTTGAAGATTCCCTTTCATAGAGCAGGTTTGAAACACTCTTTCTGGAGTATCTGGATGTGGACATTTGGAGCGCTTTGATGCCTACGGTGAGAAAGTAAATATCTTCCCATAAAAACGAGACAGAAGGATTCTCAGAAACAAGTTTGTGATGTGTGTACTCAGCTAACAGAGTGGAACCTCTCTTTTGATGCAGCAGTTTGGAAACACTCTTTTTGTAGAAACTGTAAGTGGATATTTGGATAGCTCTAATGATTTCGTTGGAAACGGGAGTATCATCATCTAAAATCTAGACAGAAGCACTCTCAGAAACTACTTTGTGATATCTGCATTCAAGTCACAGAGTTGAACATTCGCTTTCTTAGAGCACGTTTGAAACACTCTTTTTGTAGTGTCTGGAAGTGGACATTTGGAGCGCTTTGATGCCTTTGGTGAAAAAGGGAATGTTTACCCATAAAAACTAGACAGAAGCATTCTCAGAAACTTGTTTGTGATGTGTGTACCCAGCTAAAGGAGTTGAACATTTCTGTTGATAGAGCAGTTTTGATACACTCTTTTTGTGGAAAATGCAAGTGGATATTTGGATAGCTTGGAGGATTTCGTTGGAAGCGGGAATTCAAATAAAAGGTAGACAGCAGCATTCTCAGAAATTTCTTTCTGATGTCTGCATTCAACTCATAGAGTTGAAGATTCCCTTTCATAGAGCAGGTTTGAAACACTCGTTCTGGAGTATCCGGATGTGGACATTTGGAGCGCTTTGATGCCTACGGTGGAAAAGTAAATATGTTCCCATAAAAACGAGACAGAAGGATTCTGAGAAACAAGTTTGTGATGTGTGTACTCAGCTAACAGAGTGGAACCTTTCTTTTTACAGAGCAGCTTTGAAACTCTATTTTTGTGGATTCTGCAAATGGATATTTAGATTGCTTTAACGATATCGTTGGAAAAGGGAATATCGTCATACAAAATCTAGACAGAAGCATTCTCACAAACTTGCTTTGTGATGTGTGTCCTCAACTAACAGAGTTGAACCTTTCTTTTGATGCATCAGTTTGGAAACACTCTTTTTGTAGAAACTGTAAGTGGATATTTGGATAGCTCTAACGATTTCGTTGGAAACGGGAATATCATCATCTAAAATCTAGACAGAAGCACTATTAGAAACTACTTGGTGATATCTGCATTCAAGTCACACAGTTGAACATTCCCTTACTTCGACCACGTTTGAAACACTCTTTTGGAAGAATCTGGAAGTGGACATTTGGAGCGCTTTGATGCCTTTGGTGAAAAGGAAACGTCTTCCAATAAAAGCCAGAGAGAAGCATTCTCAGAAACTTGTTTGTGATGTGTGTACTCAACTAAAAGAGTTGAACCTTTCTATTGATAGAGCAGTTTTGAAACACTCTTTTTGTGGATTCTGCAAGTGGATATTTGGATTGCTTTGAGGATTTCGTTGGAAGCGGGAATTCGTATAAAAACTAGACAGCAGCATTCCCAGAAATTTCTTTCGGATATTTCCATTCAACTCATAGAGATGAACATCGCCTTTCATAGAGCAGGTTTGAAACACTCTTTTTGTAGTTTGTGGAAGTGGACATTTCGATCGCCTTGATGCCTACGGTGAAAAAGGAAATATCTTCCCATAAAAAATAGACAGAAGCATTCTCAGAAACTTGTTGGTGATATGTGTCCTCAACTAACAGAGTTGAACTTTGCCATTGATAGAGAGCAGTTTTGAAACACTCTTTTTGTGGAATCTGCAAGTGGATATTTGGATAGCTTGGAGGATTTCGTTGGAAGCGGGAATTCAAATAAAAGGTAGACAGCAGGATTCTGAGAAACAAGTTTGTGATGTGTGTACTCAGCTAACAGAGTGGAACCTCTCTTTTGATGCAGCAGTTTGGAAACACTCTTTTTGTAGAAACTGTATGTGGATATTTGGATAGCTCTAATGATTTCGTTGGAAACGGGAATATCATCATCTAAAATCTAGACAGAAGCCCTCTCAGAAACTACTTTGTGATATCTGCATTCAAGTAACAGAGTTGAACATTCGCTTTCTTAGAGCACGTTGGAAACACTCTTTTTGTAGTGTCTGGAAGTGGACATTTGGAGCACTTTGATGCCTTTGGTGAAAAAGGGAACGTCTTCCCATAAAAACTAGACAGAAGCATTCTCAGAAACTTGTTTGTGATGTGTGTACCCAGCTAAAGGAGTTGAACATTTCTATTGATAGAGCAGTTTTGAAACACTCTTTTTGTGGAAAATGCAAGTGGATATTTGGATAGCTTGGAGGATTTCGTTGGAAGCGGGAATTCAAATAAAAGGTAGCAGGAGGCTCAGAAACAAGTTTGTGATGTGTGTACTCAGCTAACAGAGTGGATCCTTTCTTTTTACAGAGCAGCTTTGAAACTCTATTTCTGTGGATTCTGCAAATTGATATTTGGGTTGATTTAACGATATCGATGGAAAAGGGAATATCTTCATTCAAAATCTAGACAGAAAGCATTCTCACAAACTTCTTTGTGATGTGTGTCCTCAACTAACAGAGTTGAACCTTTCTTTTGATGCAGCAATTTGGAAACACCCTTTTGGTAGAAACTGTAACTGGATATTTGGATAGCTCTAACGATTTCGTTGGAAACGGGAATATCATCATCTAAAATCTAGACAGAGCACTATTAGAAACTACTTGGTGATATCTGCATTCAAGTCACAGAGTTGAACATTCCCTTACTTTGAGCACGTTTCAAACACTCTTTTGGAAGAATCTGGAAGTGGACATTTGGAGCGCTTTGATGCCTTTGGTGAAAAGGAAACGTCTTCCAATAAAAGCCAGACAGAAGCATTCTCAGAAACTTGTTCGTGATGTGTGTACTCAACTAAAAGAGTTGAACCTTTCTATTGATAGCGCAGTTTTGAAACACTCTTTTTGTGGATTCTGCAAGTGGATATTTGGATTGCTTTGAGGATTTCGTTGGAAGCGGGAATTCGTATAAACCCTAGACAGCAGCATTCCCAGAAATTTCTTTCGGATATTTCCATTCAACTCATAGAGATGAACATCGCCTTTCATAGAGCAGGTTTGAAACACTCTTTTTGTAGTTTGTGGAAGTGGACATTTCGATTGCCTTGACGCCTACGGTGAAAAAGGAAATATCTTCCCATAAAAAATAGACAGAAGCATTCTCAGAAACTTGTTGGTGATATGTGTCCTCAACTAACAGAGTTGAACTTTGCCATTGATAGAGAGCAGTTTTGAAACACTCTTTTTGTGGAATCTGCAAGTGGATATTTGGATAGCTTGGAGGATTTCGTTGGAAGCGGGAATTCAAATAAAAGGTAGACAGCAGCATTCTCAGAAATTTCTTTCTGATGTCTGCATTCAACTCATAGAGTTGAAGATTCCCTTTTCATAGAGCAGGTTTGAAACACTCTTTCTGGAGTATCTGGATGTGGACATTTGGAGCGCTTTGATGCCTACGGTGAAAAAGTAAATATCTTCCCATAAAAACGAGACAGAAGGATTCTCAGAAACAAGTTTGTGATGTGTGTACTCAGCTAACAGAGTGGAACCTCTCTTTTGATGCAGCAGTTTGGAAACACTCTTTTTGTAGAAAATGTAAGTGGATATTTGGATAGCTCTAATGATTTCGTTGGAAACGGGAATATCATCATCTAAAATCTAGACAGAAGCAGTCTCAGAAACTACTTTGTGATATCTGCATTCCAGTCACAGAGTTGAAAACTCCCTTACTTAGAGCAGGTTTGAAACACTCTTTTTGTAGAATCTGGAAGTGGACATTTGGAGCGCTTTGATGCCTTTGGTGAAAAAGGAAATGTCTTCCCTTAAAAAGTAGACAGAAGCATTCTCAGAAACTTGTTTGTGATGTGTGTACCCAGCCAAAGGGGTTGAACATTTCTATTGATAGAGCAGTTTTGAAACACTCTTTTTGTGGAAAATGCAGGTGGATATTTGGATAGCTTGGAGGATTTCGTTGGAAGCGGGAATTCAAATAAAAGGTTGACAGCAGCATTCTCAGAAATTTCTTTCTGATGTCTGCATTCAACTCATAGAGTTGAAGATTCCCTTTCATAGAGCAGGTTTGAAACACTCTTTCTGGAGTATCTGGATGTGGACATTTGGAGCGCTTTGATGCCTACGGTGAAAAAGTAAATATCTTCCCATAAAAACGAGACAGAAGGATTCTGAGAAACAAGTTTGTGATGTGTGTACTCACCTAACAGAGTGGAACCTTTCTTTTTACAGAGCAGCTTTGAAACTCTATTTTTGTGGATTCTGCAAATTGATATTTAGATTGCTTTAACGATATCGTTGGAAAAGGGAATATCGTCATACAAAATCTAGACAGAAGCATTCTCACAAACTTGCTTTGTGATGTGTGTCCTCAACTAACAGAGTTGAACCTTTCTTTTGATGCAGCAATTTGGAAACACCCTTTTGGTAGAAACTGTAACTGGATATTTGGATAGCTCTAACGATTTCGTTGGAAACGGGAATATCATCATCTAAAATCTAGACAGAAGCACTATTAGAAACTACTTGGTGATATCTGCATTCAAGTCACAGAGTTGAACATTCCCTTACTTTGAGCACGTTTGAAACACTCTTTTGGAAGAATCTGGAAGTGGACATTTGGAGCGCTTTGATGCCTTTGGTGAAAAGGAAACGTCTTCCAATAAAAGCCAGACAGAAGCATTCTCAGAAACTTGTTCGTGATGTGTGTACTCAACTAAAAGAGTTGAACCTTTCTATTGATAGAGCAGTTTTGAAACACTCTTTTTGCGGATTCTGCAAGTGGATATTTGGATTGCTTTGAGGATTTCGTTGAAAGCGGGAATTCGTATAAACACTAGACAGCAGCATTCCCAGAAATTTCTTTCGGATATTTCCATTCGACTCATAGAGATGAACATGGCCTTTCATAGAGCAGGTTTGAAACACTCTTTTTGTAGTTTGTGGAAGTGGACATTTCGATCGCCTTGACGCCTACGGTGAAAAAGGAAATATCTTCCCATAAAAAATAGACAGAAGAATTCTCAGAAACTTGTTTGTGATGTGTATCCTCAACTGACAGAGTTGAACCTTGCCATTGATAGAGCAGTTTTGAAACACTCTGTTTGTGGAATCTGCAAGTGGATATTTGGATAGCCTGGAGGAATTCGTTGGAAGCGGGAATTCAAATAAAAGGTAGACAGCAGCATTCTCAGAAATTTCTTTGTGATGCTTGCATTCAACTCATAGAGTTGAACATTCCCTTTCATAGAGCAGGTTTGAAACACTCTTTCTGTACTATCTGGATGTGGACATTTGGAACTCTTTGATGCCTACGGTGAAAAAGTAAATATCTTCCCATAAAAACTAGACAGAAAGGATTCTGAGAAACAAGTTTGTGATGTGTGTACTCAGCTAACAGAGTGGAACCTCTCTTTTGATGCAGCAGTTTGGAAACACTCTTTTTGTAGAAACTGTAAGTGGTTATTTGGATAGCTCTAATGATTTCGTTGGAAACGGGAATATCATCATCTAAAATCTAGACAGAAGCCTTCTCAGAAACTACTTTGTGATATCTGCATTCAAGTCACAGAGTTGAACATTCGCTTTCTTAGAGCACGTTGGAAACACTCTTTTTGTAGTGTCTGGAAGTGGACATTTGGAGCGCTTTGATGCCTTTGGTGAAAAAGGGAATGTCTTCCCATAAAAACTAGACAGAAGCATTCTCAGAAACTTGTTTGTGATGTGTGTACCCAGCCAAAGGAGTTGAACATTTCTATTGATAGAGCAGTTTTGAAACGCTCTTTTTGTGGAAAATGCAGGTGGATATTTGGATAGCTTGGAGGATTTCGTTGGAAGCGGGAATTCAAATAAAAGGTAGACAGCAGCATTCTCAGAAATTTCTTTCTGATGTCTGCATTCAACTCATAGAGTTGAAGATTCCCTTTCCTAGAGCAGGTTTGAAACACTCTTTCTGGAGTATCTGGATGTGGACATTTGGAGCGCTTTGATGCCTACGGTGAAAAAGTAAATATCTTCCCATAAAAACGAGACAGAAGGATTCTGAGAGACAAGTTTGTGATGTGTGTACTCAGCTAACAGAGTGGAACCTTTCTTTTTACAGAGCAGCTTTGAAACTCTATTTTTGTGGATTCTGCAAATGGATATTTAGATTGCTTTAACGATATCATTGGAAAAGGGAATATCGTCATACAAAATCTGGACAGAAGCATTCTCACAAACTTCTTTGTGATGTGTGTCCTCAACTAACAGAGTTGAACCTTTATTTTGATGCAGCAGTTTGGAAACACTCTTTTTGTAGAAACTGTAAGTGGATATTTGGATAGCTCTAACGATTTCATTGGAAACGGGAATATCATCATCTAAAATCTAGACAGAAGCACTATTAGAAACTACTTGGTGATATCAGCATTCAAGTCACAGAGTTGAACATTCCCTTACTTCGAGCACGTTTGAAACACTCTTTTGGAAGAATCTGGAAGTGGACATTTGGAGCGCTTTGATGCCTTTGGTGAAAAGGAAACGTCTTCCAATAAAAGCCAGACAGAAGCATTCTCAGAAACTTGTTGGTGATGTGTGTACTCAACTAAAAGAGTTGAACCTTTCTATTGATAGAGCAGTTTTGAAACACTCTTTTTGTGGATTCTGCAAGTGGATATTTGGATTGCTTTGAGGATTTCGTTGGAAGCGGGAATTCGTATAAACACTAGACAGCAGCATTCCCAGAAATTTCTTTCGGATATTTCCATTCGACTCATAGAGATGAACATGGCCTTTCATAGAGCAGGTTTGAAACACTCTTTTTGTAGTTTGTGGAAGTGGACATTTCGATCGCCTTGACGCCTACGGTGAAAAAGGAAATATCTTCCCATAAAAAATAGACAGAAGCATTCTCAGAAAGTTGTTGGTGATATGTGTCCTCAACTAACAGAGTTGAACTTTGCCATTGATAGAGAGCAGTTTTGAAACACTCTTTTTGTGGAATCAGCAAGTGGATATTTGGATAGCTTGAAGGATTTCGTTGGAAGCGGGAATTCAAATAAAAGGTAGACAGCAGCATTCTCAGAAATTTCTTTCTGATGTCTGCATTCAACTCATAGAGTTGAAGATTCCCTTTCATAGAGCAGGTTTGAAATACTCTTTCTGTAGTATCTGGATGTGGACATTTGGAGCGCTTTGAGGCCTACGATGAAAAAGTAAATATCTTCCCATAAAAACGAGACAGAAGGATTCTGAGAAACAAGTTTGTGATGTGTGTACTCAGCTAACAGAGTGGAACCTCTCTTCTGATGCAGCAGTTTGGAAACACTCTTTTTGTAGAAACTGTAAGTGGATATTTGGTTAGCTCTAATGATTTCGTTGGAAATGGGAATATCATCATCTAAAATCTAGACAGAAGCCCTCTCAGAAACTACTTTGTGATATCTGCATTCAAGTCACAGAGTTGAACATTCGCTTTCTTAGAGCACGTTTGAAACACTCTTTTTGTAGTGTCTGGAAGTGGACATTTGGAGTGCTTTGATGCCTTTGGTGAAAAAGGGAATGTCTTCCCATAAAAACTAGACAGAAGCATTCTCAGAAACTTGTTTGTGATGTGTGTACCCAGCTAAAGGAGTTGAACATTTCTATTGATAGAGCAGTTTTGAAACACTCTTTTTGTGGAAAATGCAAGTGGATATTTGGATAGCATGGAGGATTTCGTTGGAAGCGGGAATTCAAATAAATGGTAGACAGCAGCATTCTCAGAAATTTCTTTCTGATGTCTGCATTCAACTCATAGAGTTAAAGATTCCCTTTCATAGAGCAGGTTTGAAACACTCGTTCTGGAGTATCTGGATGTGGACATTTGGAGCGCTTTGATGCCTACGGTGGAAAAGTAAATATCTTCCCATAAAAACGAGACAGAAGGATTCTCAGAAACAAGTTTGTGATGTGTGTACTCAGCTAACAGAGTGGAACCTTTCTTTTTAAAGAGCAGCTTTGAAACTCTATTTTTGTGGATTCTGCAAATTGATATTTAGATTGCTTTAACGATATCGTTGGAAAAGGGAATATCGTCATACAAAATCTAGACAGAAGCATTCTCACAAACTTCTTTGTGATGTGTGTCCTCAACTAACAGAGTTGAACCTTTCTTTTGATGCAGCAATTTGGAAACACCCTTTTGGTAGAAACTGTAACTGGATATTTGGATAGCTCTAACGATTTCGTTGGAAACGGGAATATCATCATCTAAAATCTAGACAGAAGCACTATTAGAAACTACTTGGTGATATCTGCATTCAAGTCACAGAGTAGAATATTCCCTTACTTCGAGCACGTTTGAAACACTCTTTTGGAAGAATCTGGAAGTGGACATTTGGAGCGCTTTGATGCCTTTGGTGAAAAGGAAACGTCTTCCAATAAAAGCCAGACAGAAGCATTCTCAGAAACTTGTTTGTGATGTGTGTACTCAACTAAAAGAGTTGAACCTTTCTATTGATAGAGCAGTTTTGAAACACTCTTTTTGTGGATTCTGCAAGTGGATATTTGGATTGCTTTGAGGATTTCGTTGGAAGCGGGAATTCGTATAAAAACTAGACAGCAGCATTCCCAGAAATTTCTTTCGGATATTTCCATTCGACTCATAGAGATGAACATGGCCTTTCATAGAGCAGGTTTGAAACACTCTTTTTGTAGTTTGTGGAAGTGGACATTTCGATCGCCTTGACGCCTATGGTGAAAAAGGAAATATCTTCCCATAAAAAATAGACAGAAGCATTCTCAGAAACTTGTTGGTGATATGTGTCCTCAACTAACAGAGTTGAACTTTGCCATTGATAGAGAGCAGTTTTGAAACACTCTTTTTGTGGAATCTGCAAGTGGATATTTGGATAGCTTGGAGGATTTCGTTGGAAGCGGGAATTCAAATAAAAGGTAGACAGCAGCATTCTCAGAAATTTCTTTCTGATGTCTGCATTCAACTCGTAGAGTTGAACATTCCCTTTCATAGAGCAGGTTTGAAACACTCTTTCTGGAGTATCTGGATGTGGACATTTGGAGCGCTTTGATGCCTACGGTGAAAAAGTAAATATCTTCCCATAAAAACGAGACAGAAGGATTCTGAGAAACAAGTTTGTGATGTGTGTACTCGGCTAACAGAGTGGAACCTCTCTTTTGATGCAGCAGTTTGGAAACACTCTTTTTGTAGAAACTGTAAGTGGATATTTGGATAGCTCTAATGATTTCGTTGGAAACGGGAATATCATCATCTAAAATCTAGACAGAAGCACTCTCAGAAACTACTGTGTGATATCTGCATTCAAGTCACAGAGTTGAACATTCGCTTTCTTAGAGCACGTTTGAAACACTCTTTTTGTAGTGTCTGGAAGTGGACATTTGGAGCGCTTTGATTCCTTTGGTGAAAAAGGGAATGTCTTCCCATAAAAACTAGGCAGAAGCATTCTCAGAAACTTGTTTGTGATGTGTGTACCCAGCTAAAGGAGTTGAACATTTCTATTGACAGAGCAGTTATGAAACACTCTTTTTGTGGAAAATGCAAGTGGATATTTGGATAGCTTGGAGGATTTCGTTGGAAGCGGGAATTCAAATAAAAGGTAGACAGCAGCATTCTCAGAAATTTCTTTCTGATGTCTGCATTCAACTCATAGAGTTGAAGATTCCCTTTCATGGAGCAGGTTTGAAACACTCGTTCTGCAGTATCTGGATGTGGACATTTGGAGCGCTTTGATGCCTACGGTGGAAAAGTAAATATCTTCCCATAAAAACGAGACAGAAGGATTCTGAGGAACAAGTTTGTGATGTGTGTACTCAGCTAACAGAGTGGAACCTTTCTTTTTACAGAGCAGCTTTGAAACTCTATTTTTGTGGATTCTGCAAATGGATATTTAGATTGCTTTAATGATATCGTTGGAAAAGGGAATATCGTCATACAAAATCTAGACAGAAGCATTCTCACAAACTTCTTTGTGATGTGTGTCCTCAACTAACAGAGTTGAACCTTTCTTTTGATGCAGCAATTTGGAAACACCCTTTTGGTAGAAACTGTAACTGGATATTTGGATAGCTCTAACGATTTCGTTGGAAACGGGAATATCATCATCTAAAATGTAGACAGAAGCACTATTAGAAACTACTTGGTGATATCTGCATTCAAGTCACAGAGTTGAACATTCCCTTACTTTGAGCACGTTTGAAACACTCTTTTGGAAGAATCTGGAAGTGGACATTTGGAGCGCTTTGATGCCTTTGGTGAAAAGGAAACGTCTTCCAATAAAAGCCAGAGAGAAGCATTCTCAGAAACTTGTTTGTGATGTGTGTACTCAACTAAAAGAGTTGAACCTTTCTATTGATAGAGCAGTTTTGAAACACTCTTTTTTTGGATTCTGCAAGTGGATATTTGGATTGCTTTGAGGATTTCGTTGGAAGCGGGAATTCGTATAACAACTAGACAGCAGCATTCCCAGAAATTTCTTTCGGATATTTCCATTCAACTCATAGAGATGAACATGGCCTTTCATAGAGCAGGTTTGAAACACTCTTTTTGTAGTTTGTGGAAGTGGACATTTCGATCGCCTTGACGCCTACGGTGAAAAAGGAAATATCTTCCCATAAAAAATAGACAGAAGCATTCTCAGAAATATCTTTCTGATGTTTGCATTCAACTCATAGAGTTGAACATTCCCTTTAATAGAGCAGGTTTGAAACACTCTTTCTGTACTATCTGGATGTGGACATTTGGAGCGCTTTGACGCCTACGGTGAAAAAGGAAATGTCTTCCCATAAAAAATTGAAGAAGCATTCTCAGAAATTACTTTCTGATGTCTGCATTCAACTCATAGAGTTGAAAACTCCCTTTCATAGCGCAGGTTTGAAACACTCTTTCTGTAGTATCTGGATGTGGACATTTGGAGCGCTTTGATACCTACGGTGAAAAAGTAAATATCTTCCCATAAAAACTAGACAGAAGGATTCTGAGAAACAAGTTTGTGATGTGTGTACTCAGCTAACAGAGTGGAACCTCTCTTTTGATGCAGCAGTTTGGAAACACTCTTTTTGTAGAAACTGTAAGTGGATATTTGGATAGCTCTAATGATTTCGTTGAAAACGGGAATATCATCATGTAAAATCTAGACAGAAGCACTCTCAGAAACTACTTTGTGATATCTGCATTCAAGTCACAGAGTTGAACATTCGCTTTCTTAGAGCACGTTTGAAACACTCTTTTTGTAGTCTCTGGAAGTGGACATTTGGAGCGCTTTGATGGCTTTGGTGAAAAAGGGAACGTCTTCCCATAAAAACTAGACAGAAGCATTCTCAGAAACTTGTTTGTGATGTGTGTACCCAGCCAAAGGAGTTGAACGTTTCTATTGATAGAGCAGTTTTGAAACACTCTTGTTGTGGAAAATGCAGGTGGATATTTGGATAGCTTGGAGGATTTCGTTGGAAGCGGGAATTCAAATAAAAGGTAGACAGCAGCATTCTCAGAAATTTCTTTCTGATGTCTGCATTCAACTCATAGAGTTGAAGATTCCCTTTCATAGAGCAGGTTTGAAACACTCGTTCTGGAGTATCTGGATGTGGACATTTGGAGCGCTTTGATGCCTACGGTGGAAAAGTAAATATCTTCCCATAAAAACGAGACAGAAGGATTCTGAGAGACAAGTTTGTGATGTGTGTACTCAGCTAACAGAGTGGAACCTTTCTTTTTACAGAGCAGCTTTGAAACTCTATTTTTGTGGATTCTGCAAATGGATATTTAGATTGCTTTAATGATATCGCTGGAAAAGGGAATATGGTCATACAAAATCTAGACAGAAGCATTCTCACAAACTTCTTTGTGATGTGTGTCCTCAACTAACAGAGTTGAACTTTTCTTCTGATGCAGCAGTTTGGAAACACTGTTTTTGTAGAAACTGTAAGTGGATATTTGGATAGCTCTAACGATTTCGTTGGAAACGGGAATATCATCATCTAAAATCTAGACAGAAGCACTATTAGAAACTACTTGGTGATATCTGCATTCAAGTCACAGAGTTGAACATTCCCTTACTTTGAGCACGTTTCAAACACTCTTTTGGAAGAATCTGGAAGTGGACATTTGGAGCGCTTTGATGCCTTTGGTGAAAAGGAAACGTCTTCCAATAAAAGCCAGACAGAAGCATTCTCAGAAACTTGTTTGAGATGTGTGTACTCAACTAAAAGAGTTGAACCTTTCTATTGATAGAGCAGTTTTGAAACACTCTTTTTGTGGATTCTGCAAGTGGATATTTGGATTGCTTTGAGGATTTCGTTGGAAGCGGGAATTCGTATAACAACTAGACAGCAGCATTCCCAGAAATTTCTTTCGGATATTTCCATTCAACTCATAGAGATGAACATCGCCTTTCATAGAGCAGGTTTGAAACACTCTTTTTGTAGTTTGTGGAAGTGGACATTTCGATCGCCTTGACGCCTACGGTGAAAAAGGAAATATCTTCCCATAAAAAATAGACAGAAGCATTCTCAGAAACTTGTTGGTGATATGTGTCCTCAACTAACAGAGTTGAACTTTGCCATTGATAGAGAGCAGTTTTGAAACACTCTTTTTGTGGAATCTGCAAGTGGATATTTGGATAGCTTGGAGGATTTCGTTGGAAGCGGGAATTCAAATAAAAGGTAGACAGCCAGCATTCTCAGAAATTGCTTTCTGATGTCTGCATTCAACTCATAGAGTTGAACATTCCCTTTCATAGGGCAGGTTTGAAATACTCTTTCTGTAGTATCTGGATGTGGACATTTGGAGCGCTTTGATGCCTACGGTGAAAAAGTAAATATCTTCCCATAAAAACGAGACAGAGGATTCTGAGAAACAAGTTTGTGATGTGTGTACTCAGCTAACAGAGTGGAACCTCTGTTTTGATGCAGCAGTTTGGAAACACTCTTTTTGTAGAAACTGTAAGTGGATATTTGGATAGCTCTAATGATTTCGTTGGAAACGGGAATATCATCATCTAAAATCTAGACAGAAGCCCTCTCAGAAACTACTTTGTGATATCTGCATTCAAGTCACAGAGTTGAACATTCGGTTTCTTAGAGCACGTTTGAAACACTCTTTTTGTAGTGTCTGGAAGTGGACATTTGGAGCGCTTTGATGCCTTTGGTGAAAAAGGGAATGTCTTCCCATAAAAACTAGACAGAAGCATTCTCAGAGACTTGTTTGTGATGTGTGTACCCAGCCAAAGGAGTTGAACATTTCTATTGATAGAGCAGTTTTGAAACACTCTTGTTGTGGAAAATGCAGGTGGATATTTGGATAGTTTGGAGGATTTCGTTGGAAGCGGGAATTCAAATAAAAGGTAGACAGCAGCATTCTCAGAAATTTCTTTCTGATGTCTGCATTCAACTCATAGAGTTGAAGATTCCCTTTCATAGAGCAGGTTTGAAACACTCGTTCTGGAGTATCTGGATGTGGACATTTGGAGCGCTTTGATGCCTACGGTGGAAAAGTAAATATCTTCCCATAAAAACGAGACAGAAAGGATTCTGAGAAACAAGTTTGTGATGTGTGTACTCAGCTAACACAGTGGAACCTTTCTTTTTACAGAGCAGCTTTGAAACTCTATTTTTGTGGATTCTGCAAATTGATATTTAGATTGCTTTAACGATATCGTTGGAAAAGGGAATATCGTCATACAAAATCTAGACAGAAGCATTCTCACAAACTTCTTTGTGATGTGTGTCCTCAACTAACAGAGTTGAACCTTTCTTTTGATGCAGCAATTTGGAAACACCCTTTTGGTAGAAACTGTAACTGGATATTTGGATAGCTCTAACGATTTCGTTGGAAACGGGAATATCATCATCTAAAATCTAGACAGAAGCACTCTCAGTAAACTACTTTTTGATATCTGCATTCAAGTCACAGAGTTGAACATTCCCTTACTTTGAGCACGTTTGAAACACTCTTTTGGAAGAATCTGGAAGTGGACATTTGGAGCGCTTTGATGCCTTTGGTGAAAAGGAAACGTCTTCCAATAAAAGCCCAACAGCAGCATTCTCAGAAACTTGTTTGTGATGTGTGTACTCAACTAAAAGAGTTGAACCTTTCTATTCATAGAGCAGTTTTGAAACACTCTTTTTGTGGATTCTGCAAGTGGATATTTGGATTGATTTGAGGATTTCGTTGGAAGCGGGAATTCGTATAAAAACTAGACAGCAGCATTCCCAGTAAATTTCTTTCGGATATTTCCATTCAACTCATAGAGATGAACATCGCCTTTCATAGAGCAGGTTTGAAACACTCTTTTTGTAGTTTGTGGAAGTGGACATTTCGATCGCCTTGACGCCTACAGTGAAAAAGGAAATATCTTCCCATAAAAAATAGACAGAAGCATTCTCAGAAACTTGTTGGTGATATGTGTCCTCAACTAACAGAGTTGAACTTTGCCATTGATAGAGAGCAGTTTTGAAACACTCTTTTTGTGGAATCTGCAAGTGGATATTTGGATAGCTTGGAGGATTTCGTTGGAAGCGGGAATTCAAATAAAGGGTAGACAGCAGCATTCTCAGAAATTTCTTTCTGATGTCTGCATTCAACTCATAGAGTTGAAGATTCCCTTTCATAGAGCAGGTTTGAAACACTCTTTCTGGAGTATCTGGATGTGGACATTTGGAGCGCTTTGATGCCTACGGTGGAAAAGTAAATATCTTCCCATAAAAACGAGACAGAAGGATTCTGAGAGACAAGTTTGTGATGTGTGTACTCAGCTAACAGAGTGGAACCTTTCTTTTTACAGAGCAGCTTTGAAACTCTATTTTTGTGGATTCTGCAAATGGATATTTAGATTGCTTTAACGATATCCGTTGGAAAAGGGAATATCGTCATACAAAATCTGGACAGAAGCACTCTCAGAAACTACTTTTTAATATCTGCATTCAAGTCACAGAGTTGAACATTCGCTTTCTTAGAGCACTTTTGAAACACTCTTTTTGTAGTATCTGGAAGTGGACATTTGGAGCTCTTTGATGCCTTTGGTGAAAAAGGAAATGTCTTCCCATAAAAACTAGACAGAAGCTTTCTCAGAAACTTGTTTGTGATGTGTGTACCCAGCGAAAGGAGTTGAACATTTCTATTGATAGAGCAGTTTTGAAACACTCTTTTTGTAGAATCTGCAAGTGGATATTTGGATAGCTTGGAGGTTTTCGTTGGAAGCGGGAATTCAAATAAAAGGTAGACAGCAGCATTCTCAGAAATTTCTTTCTGATGTCTGCATTCAACTCATAGAGTTGAAGATTCCCTTTCATAGAGCAGGTTTGAAACACTCTTTCTGGAGTATCTGTATGTGGACATTTGGAGCGCTTTGATGCCTACGGTGAAAAAGTAAATATCTTCCCATAAAAACGAGACAGAAGGATTCTGAGAAACAAGTTTGTGATGTGTGTACTCAGCTAACAGAGTGGAACCTTTCTTTTTACAGAGCAGCTTTGAAACTCTATTTTTGTGGATTCTGCAAATGGATATTTAGATTGCTTTAATGATATCGCTGGAAAAGGGAATATCGTCATACAAAATCTAGACAGAAGCATGCTCACAAACTTCTTTGTGACGTGTGTCCTCAACTAACAGAGTTGAACCTTTCTTTTGATGCAGCAGTTTGGAAACACTCTTTTTGTAGAAACTGTAAGTGGATATTTGGATAGCTCTAACGATTTCGTTGGAAACGGGAATATCATCATCTAAAATCTAGACAGAAGCACTATTAGAAACTACTTGGTGATATCTGCATTCAAGTCACAGAGTTGAACATTCCCTTACTTTGAGCACGTTTGAAACACTCTTTTGGAAGAATCTGTAAGTGGACATTTGGAGCGCTTTGATGCCTTTGGTGAAAAGGAAACGTCTTCCAATAAAAGCCAGACAGAAGCATTCTGAGAAACTTGTTCGTGATGTGTGTACTCAACTAAAAGAGTTGAACCTTTCTATTGATAGAGCAGTTTTGAAACACTCTTTTTGTGGATTCTGCAAGTGGATATTTGGATTGCTTTGAGGATTTCGTTGGAAGCGGGAATTCGTATAAACACTAGACAGCAGCATTCCCAGAAATTTCTTTCGGATATTTCCATTCAACTCATAGAGATGAACATCGCCTTTCATAGAGCTGGTTTGAAACACTCTTTTTGTAGTTTGTGGAAGTGGACATTTCGATCGCCTTGACGCCTACAGTGAAAAAGGAAATATCTTCCCATAAAAAATAGACAGAAGCATTCTCAGAAACTTGTTGGTGATATGTGTCCTCAACTAACAGAGTTGAACTTTGCCATTGATAGAGAGCAGTTTTGAAACACTCTTTTTGTGGAATCTGCAAGTGGATATTTGGATAGCTTGGAGGATTTCGTTGGAAGCGGGAATTCAAATAAAAGGTAGACAGCAGCATTCTCAGTAAATTTCTTTCTGATGTCTGCATTCAACTCATAGAGTTGAAGATTCCCTTTCATAGAGCAGGTTTGAAACACTCTTTCTGGAGTATCTGGATGTGGACATTTGGAGCGCTTTGATGCCTACGGTGAAAAAGTAAATATCTTCCCAGAAAAACGAGACAGAAGGATTCTGAGAAACAAGTTTGTGATGTGTGTACTCAGCTAACAGAGTGGAACCTCTCTTTTGATGCAGCAGTTTGGAAACACTCTTTTTGTAGAAACTGTAAGTGGATATTTGGATAGCTCTAATGATTTCGTTGGAAACGGGAATATCATCATCTAAAATCTAGACAGAAGCCCTCTCAGAAACTACTTTGTGACATCTGCATTCAAGTCACAGAGTTGAACATTCGCTTTCTTAGAGAACGTTGGAAACACTCTTTTTGTAGTGTCTGGAAGTGGACATTTGGAGCGCTTTGATGCCTTTGGTGAAAAAGGGAATGTCTTCCCATAAAAACTAGA
Source organism: Homo sapiens (assembly GCF_000001405.40). NCBI lineage: Eukaryota > Metazoa > Chordata > Mammalia > Primates > Hominidae > Homo > Homo sapiens. The sequence goes on from NC_000014.9 coordinate 17,974,650, forward strand.
CAGAAGCATTCTCAGAGACTTGTTTGTGATGTGTGTACCCAGCCAAAGGAGTTGAACATTTCTATTGATAGAGCAGTTTTGAAACACTCTTGTTGTGGAAAATGCAGGTGGATATTTGGATAGCTTGGAGGATTTCGTTGGAAGCGGGAATTCAAATAAAAGGTAGACAGCAGCATTCTCAGAAATTTCTTTCTGATGTCTGCATTCAACTCATAGAGTTGAAGATTCCCTTTCATAGAGCAGGTTTGAAACACTCGTTCTGGAGTATCTGGATGTGGACATTTGGAGCGCTTTGATGCCTACGGTGGAAAAGTAAATATCTTCCCATAAAAACGAGACAGAAGGATTCTCAGAAACAAGTTTGTGATGTGTGTACTCAGCTAACAGAGTGGAACCTTTCTTTTTACAGAGCAGCTTTGAAACTCTATTTTTGTGGATTCTGCAAATTGATATTTAGATTGCTTTAACGATATCGTTGGAAAAGGGAATATCATCATACAAAATCTAGACAGAAGCATTCTCACAAACTTCTTTGTGATGTGTGTCCTCAACTAACAGAGTTGAACCTTTCTTTTGATGCAGCAATTTGGAAACACCCTTTTGGTAGAAACTGTAACTGGATATTTGGATAGCTCTAACGATTTCGTTGGAAACGGGAATATCATCATCTAAAATGTAGACAGAAGCACTATTAGAAACTACTTGGTGATATCTGCATTCAAGTCACAGAGTTGAACATTCCCTTACTTTGAGCACGTTTGAAACACTCTTTTGGAAGAATCTGGAAGTGGACATTTGGAGCGCTTTGATGCCTTTGGTGAAAAGGGAAACGTCTTCCAATAAAAGCCAGACAGGAAGCATTCTCAGAAACTTGTTCGTGATATGTGTACTCAACTAAAAGAGTTGAACCTTTCTATTCATAGCGCAGTTTTGAAACACTCTTTTTGTGGATTCTGCAAGTGGATATTTGGATTGCTTTGAGGATTTCGTTGGAAGCGGGAATTCATATAAAAACTAGACAGCAGCATTCCCAGAAATTTCTTTCGGATATTTCCATTCGACTCATAGAGATGAACATGGCCTTTCATAGAGCAGGTTTGAAACACTCTTTTTGTAGTTTGTGGAAGTGGACATTTCGATCGCCTTGACGCCTACGGTGAAAAAGGAAATATCTTCCCATAAAAAATAGACAGAAGCATTCTCAGAAACTTGTTGGTGATATGTGTCCTCAACTAACAGGGTTGAACTTTGCCATTGATAGAGAGCAGTTTTGAAACACTCTTTTTGTGGAATCTGCAAGTGGATATTTGGATAGCTTGGAGGATTTCGTTGGAAGCGGGAATTCAAATAAAAGGTAGACAGCAGCATTCTCAGAAATTTCTTTCTGATGTCTGCATTCAACTCATAGAGTTGTAGATTCCCTTTCATAGAGCAGGTTTGAAACACTCGTTCTGGAGTATCTGGATGTGGACATTTGGAGCGCTTTGATGCCTACGGTGGAAAAGTAAATATCTTCCCATAAAAACGAGACAGAAGGATTCTGAGAAACAAGTTTGTGATGTGTGTACTCAGCTAACAGAGTGGAACCTCTCTTTTGATGCAGCAGTTTGGAAACACTCTTTTTGTAGAAACTGTAAGTGGATATTTGGATAGCTCTAATGATTTCGTTGGAAACGGGAATATCATCATCTAAAATCTAGACAGAAGCACTATTAGAAACTACTTTGTGATATCTGCATTCAAGTCACAGGAGTTGAACATTCGCTTTCTTAGAGCACGTTGGAAACACTCTTTTTGTAGTGTCTGGAAGTGGACATTTGGAGCGCTTTGATGCCTTTGGTGAAAAAGGGAATGTCTTCCCATAAAAACTAGACAGAAGCATTCTCAGAAACTTGTTTGTGATGTGTGTACCCAGCCAAAGGAGTTGAAAATTTCTATTGATAGAGCAGTTTTGAAACACTCTTGTTGTGGAAAATGCAGGTGGATATTTGGATAGCTGGGAGGATTTCGTTGGAAGCGGGAATTCAAATAAAAGGTAGACAGCAGCATTCTCAGAAATTTCTTTCTGATGTCTGCATTCAACTCATAGAGTTGAAGATTCCCTTTCATAGAGCAGGTTTGAAACACTCGTTCTGGAGTATCTGGATGTGGACATTTGGAGCGCTTTGATGCCTACGGTGGAAAAGTAAATATCTTCCCATAAAAACGAGACAGAAGGATTCTCAGAAACAAGTTTGTGATGTGTGTACTCAGCTAACAGAGTGGAACCTTTCTTTTTACAGAGCAGCTTTGAAACTCTATTTTTGTGAATTCTGCAAATTGATATTTAGATTGCTTTAACGATATCGTTGGAAAAGGGAATACCGTCATACAAAATCTAGACAGAAGCATTCTCACAAACTTCTTTGTGATGTGTGTCCTCAACTAACAGAGTTGAACCTTTCTTTTGATGCAGCAGTTTGGAGACACTCTTTTTGTAGAAACTGTAAGTGGATATTTGGATAGCTCTAACGATTTCGTTGGAAACGGGAATATCATCATCTAAAATCTAGACAGAAGCACTATTAGAAACTACTTGGTGATATCTGCATTCAAGTCACAGAGTTGAACATTCCCTTACTTTGGGCACGTTTCAAACACTCTTTTGGAAGAATCTGGAAGTGGACATTTGGAGCGCTTTGATGCCTTTGGTGAAAAGGAAACGTCTTCCAATAAAAGCCAGACAGAAGCATTCTCAGAAACTTGTTCGTGATGTGTGTACTCAACTAAAAGAGTTGAACCTTTCTATTGATAGAGCAGTTTTGAAACACTCTTTTTGTGGATTCTGCAAGTGGATATTTGGATTGCTTTGAGGATTTCATCGGAAGCGGGAATTCGTATAAACACTAGACAGCCAGCATTCCCAGAAATTTCTTTCGGATATTTCCATTCGACTCATAGAGATGAACATGGCCTTTCATAGAGCAGGTTTGAAACACTCTTTTTGTAGTTTGTGGAAGTGGACATTTCGATCGCCTTGACGCCTACGGTGAAAAAGGAAATATCTTCCCATAAAAAATAGACAGAGCATTCTCAGAAACTTGTTGGTGATATGTGTCCTCAACTAACAGAGTTGAACTTTGCCATTGATAGAGAGCAGTTTTGAAACACTCTTTTTGTGGAATCTGCAAGTGGATATTTGGATAGCTTGGAGGATTTCGTTGGAAGCGGGAATTCAAATAAAAGGTAGACAGCAGCATTCTCAGAAATTTCTTTCTGATGTCTGCAATCAACTCATAGAGTTGAAGATTCCCTTTCATAGAGCAGGTTTGAAACACTCTTTGTGGAGTATCTGGATGTGGACATTTGGAGCGCTTTGATGCCTACGGTGAAAAAGTAAATATCTTCCCATAAAAACGAGACAGAAGGATTCTGAGAAACAAGTTTGTGATGTGTGTACTCAGCTAACAGAGTGGAACCTCTCTTTTGATGCAGCAGTTTGGAAACACTCTTTTTGTAGAAACTGTAAGTGGATATTTGGATAGCTCTAATGATTTCGTTGGAAACGGGAATATCATCATCTAAAATCTAGACAGAAGCCCTCTCAGAAACTACTTTGTGATATCTGCATTCAAGTCACAGAGTTGAACATTCGCTTTCTTAGAGCACGTTGGAAACACTCTTTTTGTAGTGTCTGGAAGTGGACATTTGGAGCGCTTTGATTCCTTTGGTGAAAAAGGGAACGTCTACCCATAAAAACTAGACAGAAGCATTCTCAGAAACTTGTTTGTGATGTGTGTACCCAGCCAAAGGAGTTGAACATTTCTATTGATAGAGCAGGTTTGAAACACTCTTTTTGTGGAAAATGCAGGTGGATATTTGGATAGCTTGGAGGATTTCGTTGGAAGCGGGAATTCAAATAAAAGGTAGACAGCAGCATTCTCAGAAATTACTTTCTGATGTCTGCATTCAACTCATAGAGTTGAAGATTCCCTTTCATAGAGCAGGTTTGAAACACTCTTTCTGGAGTATCTGGATGTGGACATTTGGAGCGCTTTGATGCCTACGGTGAAAAAGTAAATATCTTCCCATAAAAACGAGACAGAAGGATTCTCAGAAACAAGTTTGTGATGTGTGTACTCAGCTAACAGAGTGGAACCTTTCTTTTTACAGAGCAGCTTTGAAACTCTATTGTTGTGGATTCTGCAAATTGATATTTAGATTGCTTTAACGATATCGTTGGAAAAGGGAATACCGTCATACAAAATCTAGACAGAAGCATTCTCACAAACTTCTTTGTGATGTGTGTCCTCAACTAACAGAGTTGAACCTTTCTTTTGATGCAGCAATTTGGAAACACCCTTTTGGTAGAAACTGTAAGTGGATATTTGGATAGCTCTAACGATTTCGTTGGAAACGGGAATATCATCATCTAAAATCTAGACAGAAGCACTATTAGAAACTACTTGGTGATATCTGCATTCAAGTGACAGAGTTGAACATTCCCTTACTTTGAGCACGTTTGAAACACTCTTTTGGAAGAATCTGGAAGTGGACATTTGGAGCGCTTTGATGCCTTTGGTGAAAAGGAAACGTCTTCCAATAAAAGCCAGACAGAAGCATTCTCAGAAACTTGTTCGTGATGTGTGTACTCAACTAAAAGAGTTGAACCTTTCTATTGATAGAGCAGTTTTGAAACACTCTTTTTGTGGATTCTGCAAGTGGATATTTGGATTGCTTTGAGGATTTTGTTGGAAGCGGGAATTCGTATAAACACTAGACAGCAGCATTCCCAGAAATTTCTTTCGGATATTTCCATTCAACTCATAGAGATGAACATGGCCTTTCATAGAACAGGTTTGAAACACTCTTTTTGTAGTTTGTGGAAGTGGACATTTCGATCGCCTTGACGCCTACGGTGAAAAAGGGAATATCTACCCATAAAAAATAGACAGAAGCATTCTCAGAAACTTGTTGGCGATATGTGTCCTCAACTAACAGAGTTGAACTTTGCTATTGATAGAGAGCAGTTTTGAAACACTCTTTTTGTGGAATCTGCAAGTGGATATTTGGATAGCTTGGAGGATTTCGTTGGAAGCGGGAATTCAAATAAAAGGTAGACAGCAGCATTCTCAGAAATTTCTTTCTGATCTCTGCATTCAACTCATAGAGTTGAACATTCCCTTTCATAGGGCAGGTTTGAAATACTCTTTCTGTAGTATCTGGATGTGGACATTTGGAGCGCTTTGATGCCTACGGTGAAAAAGTAAATATCTTCCCATAAAAACGAGACAGAAGGATTCTGAGAAACAAGTTTGTGATGTGTGTACTCAGCTAACAGAGTGGAACCTCTCTTTTGATGCAGCAGTTTGGAAACACTCTTTTTGTAGAAATTGTAAGTGGATATTTGGATAGCTCTAATGATTTCGTTGGAAACGGGAATATCATCATCTAAAATCTAGACAGAAGCACTCTCAGAAACTACTTTGTGATATCTGCATTCAAGTCACAGAGTTGAACATTCGCTTTCTTAGAGCACGTTGGAAACACTCTTTTTGTAGTGTCTGGAAGTGGACACTTGGAGCGCTTTGATGCCTTTGGTGAAAAAGGGAACGTCTTCCCATAAAAACTAGACAGAAGCATTCTCAGAAACTTGTTTGTGATGTGTGTACCCAGCTAAAGGAGTTGAACATTTCTATTGATAGAGCAGTTTTGAAACACTCTTTTTGTGGAAAATGCAAGTGGATATTTGGATAGCTTGGAGGATTTCGTTGGAAGCGGGAATTCAAATAAAAGGTAGACAGCAGCATTCTCAGAAATTTCTTTCTGATGTCTGCATTCAACTCATAGAGTTGAAGATTCCCTTTCATAGAGCAGGTTTGAAACACTCTTTCTGGAGTATCTGGATGTGGACATTTGGAGGGCTTTGATGCCTACGGTGAAAAAGTAAATATCTTCCCATAAAAACGAGACAGAAGGATTCTGAGAAACAAGTTTGTGATGTGTGTACTCAGCTAACAGAGTGGAACCTTTCTTTTTACAGAGCAGCTTTGAAACTCTATTTTTGTGGATTCTGCAAATTGATATTTAGATTGCTTTAACGATATCGTTGGAAAAGGGAATATCGTCATACAAAATCTAGACAGAAGCATTCTCACAAACTTCTTTGTGATGTGTGTCCTCAACTAACAGAGTTGAACCTTTCTTTTGATGCAGCAGTTTGGAAACACTCTTTTTGTAGAAACTGTAAGTGGATATTTGGATAACTCTAACGATTTCGTTGGAAACGGGAATATCATCATCTAAAATCTAGACAGAAGCACTATTAGAAACTACTTGGTGATATCTGCATTCAAGTCACAGAGTTGAACATTCCCTTACTTTGAGCACGTTTCAAACACTCTTTTGGAAGAATCTGGAAGTGGACATTTGGAGCGCTTTGATGCCTTTGGTGAAAAGGAAACGTCTTCCAATAAAAGCCAGACAGAAGCATTCTCAGAAACTTGTTCTTGACGTGTGTACTCAACTAAAAGAGTTGAACCTTTCTATTGATAGAGCAGTTTTGAAACACTCTTTCTGTGGATTCTGCAAGTGGATATTTGGATTGCTTTGAGGATTTCGTTGGAAGCGGTAATTCGTATAACAACTAGACAGCAGCATTCCCAGAAATTTCTTTCGGATATTTCCATTCAACTCATAGAGATGAACATGGCCTTTCATAGAGCAGGTTTGAAACACTCTTTTTGTAGTTTGTGGAAGTGGACATTTCGATCGCCTTGACGCCTACAGTGAAAAAGGAAATATCTTCCCATAAAAAATAGACAGAAGCATTCTCAGAAACTTGTTGGTGATATGTGTCCTCAACTAACAGAGTTGAACTTTGCCATTGATAGAGAGCAGTTTTGAAACACTCTTTTTGTGGAATCTGCAAGTGGATATTTGGATAGCTTGGAGGATTTCGTTGGAAGCGGGAATTCAAATAAAAGGTAGACAGCCGCATTCTCAGAAATTTCTTTCTGATGTCTGCATTCAACTCATAGAGTTGAACATTCCCTTTCATAGAGCAGGTTTGAAACACTCTTTCTGGAGTATCTGGATGTGGACATTTGGAGCGCTTTGATGCCTACGGTGAAAAAGTAAATATCTTCCCATAAAAACGAGACAGAAGGATTCTCAGAAACAAGTTTGTGATGTGTGTACTCAGCTAAAAGAGTGGAACCTCTCTTTTGATGCAGCAGTTTGGAAACACTCTTTTTGTAGAAACTGTAAGTGGATATTTGGATAGCTCTAATGATTTCGTTGGAAACGGGAATATCATCATCTAAAATCTAGACAGAAGCACTCTCAGAAACTACTTTGTGATATCTGCATTCAAGTCACAGAGTTGAACATTCGCTTTCTTAGAGCACGTTTGAAACACTCTTTTTGTAGTGGCTGGAAGTGGACATTTGGAGCGCTTTGATGCCTTTGGTGAAAAAGGGAATGTCTTCCCATAAAAACTAGGCAGAAGCATTCTCAGAAACTTGTTTGTGATGTGTGTACCCAGCCAAAGGAGTTGAACATTTCTATTGATAGAGCAGTTTTGAAACACTCTTGTTGTGGAAAATGCAAGTGGATATTTGGATAGCTTGGAGGATTTCGTTGGAAGCGGGAATTCAAATAAAAGGTAGACAGCAGCATTCTCAGAAATTTCTTTCTGATGTCTGCATTCAACTCATAGAGTTGAAGATTCCCTTTCATAGAGCAGGTTTGAAACAGTCTTTCTGGAGTTTCTGGATGTGGACATTTGGAGCGCTTTGATGCCTACGGTGAAAAAGTAAATATCTTCCCATAAAAACGAGACAGAAGGATTCTCAGAAACAAGTTTGTGATGTGTGTACTCAGCTAACAGAGTGGAACCTTTCTTTTTACAGAGCAGCTTTGAAACTCTATTTTTGTGGATTCTGCAAATGGATATTTAGATTGCTTTAACGATATCGTTGGAAAAGGGAATATCGTCATACAAAATACTGGACAGAAGCATTCTCACAAACTTCTTTGTGATGTGTTTCCTCAACTAACAGAGTTGAACCTTTCTTTTGATGCAGCAATTTGGAAACACCCTTTTGGTAGAAACTGTAACTGGATATTTGGATAGCTCTAACGATTTCGTTGGAAACGGGAATATCATCATCTAAAATCTAGACAGAAGCACTATTAGAAACTACTTGGTGATATCTGCATTCAAGTCACAGAGTAGAACATTCCCTTACTTCGAGCACGTTTGAAACACTCTTTTGGAAGAATCTGGAAGTGGACATTTGGAGCGCTTTGATGCCTTTGGTGAAAAGGAAACGTCTTCCAATAAAAGCCAGACAGAAGCATTCTCAGAAACTTGTTTGTGATGTGTGTACTCAACTAAAAGAGTTGAACCTTTCTATTGATAGAGCAGTTTTGAAACACTCTTTTTGTGGATTCTGCAAGTGGATATTTGGATTGCTTTGAGGATTTCGTTGGAAGCGGGAATTCGTATAACAACTAGACAGCAGCATTCCCAGAAATTTCTTTCGGATATTTCCATTCAACTCATAGAGATGAACATGGCCTTTCATAGAGCAGGTTTGAAACACTCTTTTTGTAGTTTGTGGAAGTGGACATTTCGATCGCCTTGACGCCTACGGTGAAAAAGTAAATATCTTCCCATAAAAAATAGAAACATTCTCAGAAACTTGTTGGTGATATGTGTCCTCAACTAACAGAGTTGAACTTTGCCATTGATAGAGAGCAGTTTTGAAACACTCTTTTTCCTGAATCTGCAAGTGGATATTTGGATAGTTTGGAGGATTTCGTTGGAAGCGGGAATTCAAATAAAAGGTAGACAGCAGCATTCTCAGAAATTTCTTTCTGATCTCTGCATTCAACTCATAGAGTTGAACATTCCCTTTCATAGGGCAGGTTTGAAATACTCTTTCTGTAGTATCTGGATGTGGACATTTGGAGCGCTTTGATGCCTACGGTGAAAAAGTAAATATCTTCCCATAAAAACGAGACAGAAGGATTCTGAGAAACAAGTTTGTGATGTGTGTACTCAGCTAACAGAGTGGAACCTCTCTTTTGATGCAGTAGTTTGGAAACACTCTTTTTGTAGAAACTGTAAGGGGATATTTGGATAGCTCTAATGATTTCGTTGGAAACGGGAATATCATCATCTAAAATCTAGAGAGAAGCCCTCTCAGAAACTACTCTGTGATATCTGCATTCAAGTCACAGAGTTGAACATTCGTTTTCTTAGAGCACGTTTGAAACACTCTTTTTGTAGTGTCTGGAAGTGGACATTTGGAGCGCTTTGATGCCTTTGGTGAAAAAGGGAATGTCTTCCCATAAAAACTAGACAGAAGCATTCTCAGAAACTTGTTTGTGATGTGTGTACCCAGCCAAAGGAGTTGAACATTTCTATTGATAGAGCAGTTTTGAAACACTCTTTTTGTGGAAAATGCAGGTGGATATTTGGATAGCTTGGAGGATTTCGTTGGAAGCGGGAATTCAAATAAAAGGTAGACAGCAGCATTCTCAGAAATTTCTTTCTGATGTCTGCATTCAACTCATAGAGTTGAAGATTCCCTTCCATAGAGCAGGTTTGAAACACTCGTTCTGGAGTATCTGGATGTGGACATTTGGAGCGCTTTGATGCCTACGGTGGAAAAGTAAATATCTTCCCATAAAAACGAGACAGAAGGATTCTCAGAAACAAGTTTGTGATGTGTGTACTCAGCTAACAGAGTGGAACCTTTCTTTTTACAGAGCAGCTTTGAAACTCTATTTTTGTGGATTCTGCAAATTGATATTTAGATTGCTTTAACGATATCGTTGGAAAAGGGAATATCGTCATACAAAATCTAGACAGAAGCATTCTCACAAACTTCTTTGTGATGTGTGTCCTCAACTAACAGAGTTGAACCTTTCTTTTGATGCAGCAGTTTGGAAACACTCTTTTTGTAGAAACTGTAAGTGGATATTTGGATAGCTCTAACGATTTCGTTGGAAACGGGAATATCATCATCTAAAATCTAAACAGAAGCACTATTAGAAACTACTTGGTGATATCTGCATTCAAGTCACAGAGTTGAACATTCCCTTACTTCGACCACGTTTGAAACGCTCTTTTGGAAGAATCTGGAAGTGGACATTTGGAGCGCTTTGATGCCTTTGGTGAAAAGGAAACGTCTTCCAATAAAAGCCAGAGAGAAGCATTCTCAGAAACTTGTTCGTGATGTGTGTACTCAACTAAAAGAGTTGAACCTTTCTATTGATAGAGCAGTTTTGAAACACTCTTTTTGTGGATTCTGCAAGTGGATATTTGGATTGCTTTGAGGATTTCATTGGAAGCGGGAATTCGTATAAACACTAGACAGCAGCATTCCCAGAAATTTCTTTCGGATATTTCCATTCGACTCATAGAGATGAACATGGCCTTTCATAGAGCAGGTTTGAAACACTCTTTTTGTAGTTTGTGGAAGTGGACATTTCGATCGCCTTGACGCCTACGGTGAAAAAGGAAATATCTTCCCATAAAAAATAGACAGAAGCATTCTCAGAAACTTGTTGGTGATATGTGTCCTCAACTAACAGAGTTGAACTTTGCCATTGATAGAGAGCAGTTTTGAAACACTCTTTTTGTGGAATCTGCAAGTGGATATTTGGATAGCTTGGAGGATTTCGTTGGAAGCGGGAATTCAAATAAAAGGTAGACAACAGCATTCTCAGAAATTTCTTTCTGATGTCTGCATTCAACTCATAGAGTTGAAGATTCCCTTTCATAGAGCAGGTTTGAAACACTCTTTCTGGAGTATCTGGATGTGGACATTTGGAGAGCTTTGATGCCTACGGTGAAAAAGTAAATATCTTCCCATAAAAACGAGACAGAAGGATTCTGAGAAACAAATTTGTGATGTGTGTACTCAGCTAACAGAGTGGAACCTCTCTTTTGATGCAGCAGTTTGGAAACACTCTTTTTGTAGAAACTGTAAGTGGATATTTGGAAGCTCTAATGATTTTGTTGGAAACGGGATTATCATCATCTAAAATCTAGACAGAAGCCCTCTCAGAAACTACTTTGTGATATGTGCATTCAAGTCACAGAGTTGAACATTCGCTTTCTTAGAGCACGTTGGAAACACTCTTTTTGTAGTGTCTGGAAGTGGACATTTGGAGCGCTTTGATGCCTTTGGTGAAAAAGGGAACGTCTTCCCATAAAAACTAGACAGAAGCATTCTCAGAAACTTGTTTGTGATGTGTGTACCCAGCCAAAGGAGTTGAACATTTCTATTGATAGAGCAGTTTTGAAACACTCTTGTTGTGGAAAATGCAGGTGGATATTTGGATAGCTTGGAGGATTTCGTTGGAAGGGGGAATTCAAATAAAAGGTAGACAGCAGCATTCTCAGAAATTTCTTTCTGATGTCTGCATTCAACTCATAGAGTTGAAGATTCCCTTTCATAGAGCAGGTTTGAAACACTCGTTCTGGAGTATCTGGATGTGGACATTTGGAGCGCTTTGATGCCTATGGTGGAAAAGTAAATATCTTCCCATAAAAACGAGACAGAAGGATTCTCAGAAACAAGTTTGTGATGTGTGTACTCAGCTAACAGAGTGGAACCTTTCTTTTTACAGAGCAGCTTTGAAACTCTATTTTTGTGGATTCTGCAAATTGATATTTAGATTGCTTTAACGATATCGTTGGAAAAGGGAATATCGTCATACAAAATCTAGACAGAAGCATTCTCACAAACTTCTTTGTGACGTGTGTCCTCAACTAACAGAGTTGAACCTTTCTTTTGATGCAGCAGTTTGGAAACACTGTTTTTGTAGCAACTGTAAGTGGATATTTGGATAGCTCTAACGATTTCGTTGGAAACGGGAATATCATCATCTAAAATCTAGACAGAAGCACTCTCAGAAACTACTTTGTGATATCTGCATTCAAGTCACAGAGTTCAACATTTGCTTTCTTAGAGCACGTTTGAAACACTCTTTTTGTAGTGTCTGGAAGTGGACATTTGGAGCGCTTTGATGCCTTTGGTGAAAAGGAAACGTCTTCCAATAAAAGCCAGACAGAAGCATTCTCAGAAACTTGTTTGTGATGTGTGTACTCAACTAAAAGAGTTGAACCTTTCTATTGATAGAGCAGTTTTGAAACACTCTTTTTGTGGATTCTGCAAGTGGATATTTGGATTGCTTTGAGGATTTCGTTGGAAGCGGGAATTCGTATAAACACTAGACAGCAGCATTCCCAGAAATTTCTTTCGGATATTTCCATTCAACTCATAGAGATGAACATCGCCTTTCATAGAGCAGGTTTGAAACACTCTTTTTGTAGTTTGTGGAAGTGGACATTTCGATCGCCTTGACGCCTACGGTGAAAAAGGAAATATCTTCCCATAAAAAATAGACAGAAGCATTCTCAGAAACTTGTTGGTGATATGTGTCCTCAACTAACAGAGTTGAACTTTGCCATTGATAGAGAGCAGTTTTGAAACACTCTTTTTGTGGAATCTGCAAGTGGATATTTGGATAGCTTGGAGGATTTCGTTGGAAGCGGGAATTCAAATAAAAGGTAGACAGCAGCATTCTCAGAAATTTCTTTCTGATGTCTGCATTCAACTCATAGAGTTGAAGATTCCCTTTCATAGAGCAGGTTTGAAACACTCTTTCTGGAGTATCTGGATGTGGACATTTGGAGCGCTTTGATGCCTACGGTGAAAAAGTAAATATCTTCCCATAAAAACGAGACTGAAGGATTCTGAGAAACAAGTTTGTGATGTGTGTACTCAGCTAACAGAGTGGAACCTCTCTTTTGAAGCAGCAGTTTGGAAACACTCTTTTTGTGGAAACTGTAAGTGGATATTTGGATAGCTCTAATGATTTCGTTGGAAACGGGAATATCATCATCTAAAATCTAGACAGAAGCCCTCTCAGAAACTACTTTGTGATATCTGCATTCAAGTCACAGAGTTGAACATTCGCTTTCTTAGAGCACGTTGGAAACACACTTTTTGTAGTGTCTGGAAGTGGACATTTGGAGCGCTTTGATGCCTTTGGTGAAAAAGGGAATGTCTTCCCATAAAAACTAGACAGAAGCATTCTCAGAAACTTGTTTGTGATGTGTGTACCCAGCCAAAGGAGTTGAACATTTCTATTGATAGAGCAGTTTTGAAACACTCTTGTTGTGGAAAATGCAGGTGGATATTTGGATAGCTTGGAGGATTTCGTTGGAAGCGGGAATTCAAATAAAAGGTAGACAGCAGCATTCTCAGAAATTTCTTTCTGATGTCTGCATTCAACTCATAGAGTTGAAGATTCCCTTTCATAGAGCAGGTTTGAAACACTCGTTCTGGAGTATCTGGATGTGGACATTTGGAGCGCTTTGATGCCTACGGTGGAAAAGTAAATATCTTCCCATAAAAACGACACAGAAGGATTCTGAGAAACAAGTTTGTGATGTGTGTACTCAGCTAACAGAGTGGAACCTTTCTTTTTACAGAGCAGCTTTGAAACTCTATTTTTGTGGATTCTGCAAATGGATATTTAGATTGCTTTAATGATATCGCTGGAAAAGGGAATATGGTCATACAAAATCTAGACAGAAGCATTCTCACAAACTTCTTTGTGACGTGTGACCTCAACTAACAGAGTTGAACCTTTCTTTTGATGCAGCAGTTTGGAAACACTGTTTTTGTAGCAACTGTAAGTGGATATTTGGATAGCTCTAACGATTTCGTTGGAAACGGGAATATCATCATCTAAAATCTAGACAGAAGCACTATTAGAAACTACTTGGTGATATCTGCATTCAAGTCACAGAGTTGAACATTCCCTTACTTTGAGCACGTTTCAAACACTCTTTTGGAAGAATCTGGAAGTGGACATTTGGAGCGCTTTGATGCCTTTGGTGAAAAGGAAACGTCTTCCAATAAAAGCCAGACCGAAGCATTCTCAGAAACTTGTTTGTGATGTGTGTACTCAACTAAAAGAGTTGAACCTTTCTATTGATAGAGCAGTTTTGAAACACTCTTTTTGTGGATTCTGCAAGTGGATATTTGGATTGCTTTGAGGATTTCGTTGGAAGCGGGAATTCGTATAAAAACTAGACAGCAGCATTCCCAGAAATTTCTTTCTGATATTTCCATTCAACTCATAGAGATGAACATGGCCTTTCATAGAGCAGGTTTGAAACACTCTTTTTGTAGTTTGTGGAAGTGGACATTTCGATCGCCTTGACGCCTACGGTGAAAAAGGAAATATCTTCCCATAAAAAATAGACAGAAGCATTCTCAGAAACTTGTTGGTGATATGTGTCCTCAACTAACAGAGTTGAACTTTGCCATTGATAGAGAGCAGTTTTGAAACACTCTTTTTGTGGAATCTGCAAGTGGATATTTGGATAGCTTGGAGGATTTCGTTGGAAGCGGGAATTCACATAAAAGGTAGACAGCAGCATTCTCAGCAAATTTCTTTCTGATGTCTGCATTCAACTCATAGAGTTGAAGATTCCCTTTCATAGAGCAGGTTTGAAACACTCTTTCTGGAGTATCTGGATGTGGACATTTGGAGCGCTTTGATGCCTACGGTGAAAAAGTATAATCTTCCCATAAAAACGAGACAGAAGGATTCTGAGAAACAAGTTTGTGATGTGTGTACTCAGCTAACAGAGTGGAACCTCTCTTTTGATGCAGCAGTTTGGAAACACTCTTTTTGTAGAAACTGTAAGTGGATATTTGGATAGCTCTAATGATTTCGTTGGAAACGGGAATATCATCATCTAAAATCTAGACAGAAGCCCTCTCAGAAACTACTTTGTGATATCTGCATTCAAGTCACAGGGTTGAACATTCGCTTTCTTAGAGCACGTTTGAAACACTCTTTTTGTAGTGTATGGAAGTGGACATTTGGAGCGCTTTGATGCCTTTGGTGAAAAAGGGAACGTCTTCCCATAAAAACTAGACAGAAGCATTCTCAGAAACTTGTTTGTGATGTGTGTACCCAGCCAAAGGAGTTGAACATTTCTATTGATAGAGCAGTTTTGAAACACTTGTTGTGGAAAATGCAGGTGGATATTTGGATAGCTTGGAGGATTTCGTTGGAAGCGTTAATTCAAATAAAAGGTAGACAGCAGCATTCTGAGAAATTTCTTTCTGATGTCTGCATTCAACTCATAGAGTTGAAGATTCCCTTTCATAGAGCAGGTTTGAAACACTCGTTCTGGAGTATCTGGATGTGGACATTTGGAGCGCTTTGATGCCTACGGTGGAAAAGTAAATATCTTCCCATAAAAACGAGACAGAAAGATTCTCAGAAACAAGTTTGTGATGTGTGTACTCAGCTAACAGAGTGGAACCTTTCTTTTTACAGAGCAGCTTTGAAACTCTATTTTTGTGGATTCTGCAAATTGATATTTAGATTGCTTTAACGATATCGTTGGAAAAGGGAATATCGTCATACAAAATCTAGACAGAAGCATTCTCACAAACTTCTTTGTGATGTGTGTCCTCAACTAACAGAGTTGAACCTTTCTTTTGATGCAGCAATTTGGAAACACCCTTTTGGTAGAAACTGTAACTGGATATTTGGATAGCTCTAACGATTTCGTTGGAAACGGGAATATCATCATCAAAAGGTAGACAGAAGCACTATTAGAAACTACTTGGTGATATCTGCATTCAAGTCACAGAGTAGAACATTCCCTTACTTCGAGCACGTTTGAAACACTCTTTTGGAAGAATCTGGAAGTGGACATTTGGAGCGCTTTGATGCCTTTGGTGAAAAGGAAACGTCTTCCAATAAAAGCCAGACAGAAGCATTCTCAGAAACTTGTTCGTGATATGTGTACTCAACTAAAAGAGTTGAACCTTTCTATTGATAGCGCAGTTTTGAAACACTCTTTTTGTGGATTCTGCAAGTGGATATTTGGATTGCTTTGAGGATTTCGTTGGAAGCGGGAATTCATATAAAAACTAGACAGCAGCATTCCCAGAAATTTCTTTCGGATATTTCCATTCAACTCATAGAGATGAACATGGCCTTTCATAGAGCAGGTTTGAAACACTCTTTTTGTAGTTTGTGGAAGTGGACGTTTCGATCGCCTTGACGCCTACGGTGAAAAAGGAAATATCTTCCCATAAAAAATAGACAGAAGCATTCTCAGAAACTTGTTGGTGATATGTGTCCTCAACTAACAGAGTTGAACTTTGCCATTGATAGAGAGCAGTTTTGAAACACTCTTTTTGTGGAATCTGCAAGTGGATATTTGGATAGCTTGGAGGATTTCGTTGGAAGCGGGAATTCAAATAAAAGGTAGACAGCAGCATTCTCAGAAATTTCTTTCTGATGTCTGCATTCAACTCATAGAGTTGAACATTCCCTTTCATAGAGCAGGTTTGAAACACTCTTTCTGGAGTATCTGGATGTGGACATTTGGAGCGCTTTGATGCCTACGGTGAAAAAGTAAATATCTTCCCATAAAAAGCGAGACAGAAGGATTCTCAGAAACAAGTTTGTGATGTGTGTACTCAGCTAACAGAGTGGAACCTCTCTTTTGATGCAGCAGTTTGGAAACACTCTTTTTGTAGAAACTGTAAGTGGATATTTGGATAGCTCTAATGATTCCGTTGGAAACGGGAATATCATCATCTAAAATCTAGACAGAAGCCCTCTCAGAAACTACTTTGTGATATCTGCATTCAAGTCACAGTAGTTGAACATTCGCTTTCTTAGGGCACGTTGGAAACACTCTTTTTGTAGTGTCTGGAAGTGGACATTTGGAGCGCTTTGATGCCTTTGGTGAAAAAGGGAACGTCTTCCCATAAAAACTAGACAGAAGCATTCTCAGAAACTTGTTTGTGATGTGTGTACCCAGCCAAAGGAGTTGAACATTTCTATTGATAGAGCAGTTTTGAAACACTCTTGTTGTGGAAAATGCAGGTGGATATTTGGATAGCTTGGAGGATTTCGTTGGAAGCGGGAATTCAAATAAAAGGTAGACAGCAGCATTCTCAGAAATTTCTTTCTAATGTCTGCATTCAACTCATAGAGTTGAAGATTCCCTTTCATAGAGCAGGTTTGAAACACTCTTTCTGGAGTATCTGGATGTGGACATTTGGAGCGCTTTGATGCCTACGGTGAAAAAGTAAATATCTTCCCATAAAAACGAGACAGAAGGATTCTGAGAAACAAGTTTGTGATGTGTGTACTCAGCTAACAGAGTGGAACCTTTCTTTTTACAGAGCAGCTTTGAAACTCTATTTTTGTGGATTCTGCAAATGGATATTTAGATTGCTTTAATGATATCGCTGGAAAAGGGAATATGGTCATACAAAATCTAGACAGAAGCATTCTCACAAACTTCTTTGTGATGTGTGTCCTCAACTAACAGAGTTGAACCTTTCTTTGGATGCAGCAGTTTGGAAACACTCTTTTTGTAGAAACTGTAAGTGGATATTTGGATAGCTCTAACGATTTCGTTGGAAACGGGAATATCATCATCTAAAATCTAGACAGAAGCACTATTAGAAACTACTTGGTGATATCTGCATTCAAGTCACAGAGTTGAACATTCCCTTACTTTGAGCACGTTTCAAACACTCTTTTGGAAGAATCTGGAAGTGGACATTTGGAGCGCTTTGATGCCTTTGGTGAAAAGGAAACGTCTTCCAATAAAAGCCAGACAGAAGCATTCTCAGAAACTTGTTCGTGATGTGTGTACTCAACTAAAAGAGTTGAACCTTTCTATTGATAGAGCAGTTTTGAAACACTCTTTTTGTGGATTCTGCAAGTGGATATTTGGATTGCTTTGAGGATTTCGTTGAAAGCGGGAATTCGTATAAACACTAGACAGCAGCATTCCCAGAAATTTCTTTCGGATATTTCCATTCAACTCATAGAGATGAACATGGCCTTTCATAGAGCAGGTTTGAAACACTCTTTTTGTAGTTTGTGGAAGTGGACATTTCGATCGCCTTGACGCCTACGGTGAAAAAGGAAATATCTTCCCATAAAAAATAGACAGAAGCATTCTCAGAAACTTGTTGGTGATATGTGTCCTCAACTAACAGAGTTGAACTTTGCCATTGATAGAGAGCAGTTTTGAAACACTCTTTTTGTGGAATCTGCAAGTGGATATTTGGATAGCTTGGAGGATTTCGTTGGAAGCGGGAATTCAAATAAAAGGTAGACAGCAGCATTCTCAGAAAATTTCTTTCTGATGTCTGCATTCAACTCATAGAGTTGAAGATTCCCTTTCATAGAGCAGGTTTGAAACACTCTTTCTGGAGTATCTGGATGTGGACATTTGGAGCGCTTTGATACCTACGGTGTAAAAGTAAATATCTTCCCATAAAAACGAGACAGAAGGATTCTGAGAAACAAGTTTGTGATGTGTGTACTCAGCTAACAGAGTGGAACCTCTCTTTTGATGCAGCAGTTTGGAAACACTCTTTTTGTAGAAACTGTAAGTGGATATTTGGATAGCTCTAATGATTTCGTTGGAAACGGGAATATCATCATCTAAAATCTAGACAGAAGCCCTCTCAGAAACTACTTTTTGATATCTGCATTCAAGTCACAGAGTTGAACATTCGCTTTCTTAGAGCACGTTTGAAACACTCTTTTTGTAGTGTCTGGAAGTGGACATTTGGAGCGCTTTGATGCCTTTGGTGAAAAAGGGAACGTCTTCCCATAAAAACTAGACAGAAGCATTCTCAGAAACTTGTTTGTGATGTGTGTACCCAGCTAAAGGAGTTGAACATTTCTATTGATAGAGCAGTTTTGAAACACTCTTTTTGTGGAAAATGCAAGTGGATATTTGGATAGCTTGGAGGATTTCGTTGGAAGCGGCAATTCAAATAAAAGGTAGACAGCAGCATTCTCAGAAATTTCTTTCTGATGTCTGCATTCAACTCATAGAGTTGAAGATTCCCTTTCATAGAGCAGGTTTGAAACACTCTTTCTGGAGTATCTGGATGTGGACATTTGGAGCGCTTTGATGCCTACGGTGAAAAAGTAAATATCTTCCCATAAAAACGAGACAGAAGGATTCTGAGAGACAAGTTTGTGATGTGTGTACTCAGCTAACAGAGTGGAACTTTTCTTTTTACAGAGCAGCTTTGAAACTCTATTTTTGTGGATTCTGCAAATGGATATTTAGATTGCTTTAACGATATCGTTGGAAAAGGGAATATCGTCATACAAAATCTGGACAGAAGCATTCTCACAAACTTCTTTGTGATGTGTGTCCTCAACTAACAGAGTTGAACCTTTCTTTTGATGCAGCAGTTTGGAAACACTCTTTTTGTAGAAACTGTAAGTGGATATTTGGATAGCTCTAACGATTTCATTGGAAACGGGAATATCATCATCTAAAATCTAGACAGAAGCACTATTAGAAACTACTTGGTGATATCTGCATTCAAGTCACAGATTTGAACATTCCCTTACTTTGAGCACGTTTGAAACACTCTTTTGGAAGAATCTGGAAGTGGACATTTGGAGCGCTTTGATGCCTTTGGTGAAAAGGAAACGTCTTCCAGTAAAAGCCAGACAGAAGCATTCTCAGAAACTTCTTTGTGATGTGTGTACTCAACTAAAAGAGTTGAACCTTTCTATTGATAGAGCAGTTTTGAAACACTCTTTTTGTGGATTCTGCAAGTGGATATTTGGATTGCTTTGAGGATTTCGTTGGAAGCGGGAATTCGTATAAAAACTAGACAGCAGCATTCCCAGAAATTTCTTTCGGATATTTCCATTCAACTCATAGAGATGAACATGGCCTTTCATAGAGCAGGTTTGAAACACACTTTTTGTAGTTTGTGGAAGTGGACATTTCGATCGCCTTGACGCCTACGGTGAAAAAGGAAATATCTTCCCATAAAAAATAGACAGAAGCATTCTCAGAAACTTGTTGGTGATATGTGTCCTCAACTAACAGAGTTGAACTTTGCCATTGATAGAGAGCAGTTTTGAAACACTCTTTTTGTGGAATCTGCAAGTGGATATTTGGATAGCTTGGAGGATTTCGTTGGAAGCGGGAATTCAAATAAAAGGTAGACAGCCAGCATTCTCAGAAATTTCTTTCTGATGTCTGCATTCAACTCATAGAGTTGAAGATTCCCTTTCATAGAGCAGGTTTGAAACACTCTTTCTGGAGTATCTGGATGTGGACATTTGGAGCGCTTTGATGCCTACGGTGAAAAAGTAAATATCTTCCCATAAAAACGAGACAGAGGATTCTGAGAAACAAGTTTGTGATGTGTGTACTCAGCTAACAGAGTGGAACCTCTCTTTTGATGCAGCAGTTTGGAAACACTCTTTTTGTAGAAACTGTAAGTGGATATTTGGATAGCTCTAATGATTTCGTTGGAAACGGGAATATCATCATCTAAAATCTAGACAGAAGCACTCTCAGAAACTACTTTGTGATATCTGCATTCAAGTCACAGAGTTGAACATTCGCTTTCTTAGAGCACGTTTGAAACACTCTTTTTGTAGTGTCTGGAAGTGGACATTTGGAGCGCTTTGATAACTTTGGTGAAAAAGGGAATGTCTTCCCATAAAAACTAGACAGAAGCATTCTCAGAAACTTGTTTGTGATGTGTGTACCCAGCCAAAGGAGTTGAACATTTCTATTGATAGAGCAGTTTTGAAACACTCTTGTTGTGGAAAATGCAAGTGGATATTTGGATAGCTTGGAGGATTTCGTTGGAAGCGGGAATTCAAATAAAAGGTAGACAGCAGCATTCTCAGAAATTTCTTTCTGATGTCTGCATTCAACTCATAGAGTTGAAGATTCCCTTTCATAGAGCAGGTTTGAAACACTCGTTCTGGAGTATCTGGATGTGGACATTTGGAGCGCTTTGATGCCTACGGTGGAAAAGTAAATCTCTTCCCATAAAAACGAGACAGAAGGATTCTGAGAAACAAGTTTGTGATGTGTGTACTCAGCTAACAGAGTGGAACCTTTCTTTTTACAGAGCAGCTTTGAAACTCTATTTTTGTGGATTCTGCAAATTGGTATTTAGATTGCTTTAACGATATCGTTGGAAAAGGGAATATCGTCATACAAAATCTAGACAGAAGCATTCTCACAAACTTCTTTGTGATGTGTGTCCTCAACTAACAGAGTTGAACCTTTCTTTTGATGCAGCAATTTGGAAGCACCCTTTTGGTAGAAACTGTAACTGGATATTTGGATAGCTACTAACGATTTCGTTGGAAACGGGAATATCATCATCTAAAATGTAGACAGAAGCACTATTAGAAACTACTTGGTGATATCTGCATTCAAGTCACAGAGTTGAACATTCCCTTACTTTGAGCACGTTTCAAACACTCTTTTGGAAGAATCTGGAAGTGGACATTTGGAGCGCTTTGATGCCTTTGGTGAAAAGGAAACGTCTTCCAATAAAAGCCAGACAGAAGCATTCTCAGAAACTTGTTTGTGATGTGTGTACTCAACTAAAAGAGTTGAACCTTTCTATTGATAGAGCAGTTTTGAAACACTCTTTTTGTGGATTCTGCAAGTGGATATTTGGATTGCTTTGAGGATTTCGTTGGAAGCGGGAATTCATATAAAAACTAGACAGCAGCATTCCCAGAAATTTCTTTCGGATATTTCCATTCAACTCATAGAGATTAACATGGCCTTTCATAGAGCAGGTTTGAAACACTCTTTTTGTAGTTTGTGGAAGTGGACATTTCGATCGCCTTGACGCCTACGGTGAAAAAGGAAATATCTTCCCATAAAAAATAGACAGAAGCATTCTCAGAAACTTGTTGGTGATATGTGTCCTCAACTAACAGAGTTGAACTTTGCCATTGAGAGAGCAGTTTTGAAACACTCTTTTTGTGGAATCTGCAAGTGGATATTTGGATAGCTTGGAGGATTTCGTTGGAAGCGGGAATTCAAATAAAAGGTAGACAGCAGCATTCTCAGAAATTTCTTTCTGATGTCTGCATTCAACTCATAGAGTTGAACATTCCCTTTCATAGAGCAGGTTTGAAACACTCTTTCTGGAGTATCTGGATGTGGACATTTGGAGCGCTTTGATGCCTACGGTGAAAAAGTAAATATCTTCCCATAAAAACGAGACAGAAGGATTCTGAGAAACAAGTTTGTGATGTGTGTACTCAGCTAACAGAGTGGAACCTCTCTTTTGATGCAGCAGTTTGGAAACACTCTTTTTGTAGAAACTGTAAGTGGATATTTGGATAGCTCTAATGATTTCCTTGGAAACGGGAATATCATCATCTAAAATCTAGACAGAAGCCCTCTCAGAAACTACTTTGTGATATCTGCATTCAAGTCACAGAGTTGAACATTCGCTTTCTTAGAGCACGTTTGAAACACTCTTTTTGTAGTGTCTGGAAGTGGACATTTGGAGCGCTTTGATGGCTTTGGTGAAAAAGGGAACGTCTTCCCATAAAAACTAGACAGAAGCATTCTCAGAAACTTGTTTGTGATGTGTGTACCCAGCCAAAGGAGTTGAACATTTCTTTTGATAGCGCAGTTTTGAAACACTCTTTTTGTGGATTCTGCAAGTGGATATTTGGATTGCTTTGAAGATTTCGTTGGAAGCGGGAATTCGTATAAACACTAGACAGCAGCATTCTCAGAAAATTTCTTTCTGATGTCTGCATTCAACTCATAGAGTTGAAGATTCCCTTTCATAGAGCAGGTTTGAAACACTCTTTCTGGAGTATCTGGATGTGGACATTTGGAGCGCTTTGATGCCTACGGTGAAAAAGTAAATATCTTCCCATAAAAACGAGACAGAAGGATTCTCAGAAACAAGTTTGTGATGTGTGTACTCAGCTAACAGAGTGGAACCTTTCTTTTTACAGAGCAGCTTTGAAACTCTATTTTTGTGGATTCTGCAAATTGATATTTAGATTGCTTTAACGATATTGTTGGAAAAGGGAATATCGTCATACAAAATCTAGACAGAAGCATTCTCACAAACTTCTTTGTGATGTGTGTCCTCAACTTACAGAGTTGAACCTTTCTTTTGATGCAGCAGTTTGGAAACACTCTTTTTGTAGAAACTGTAAGTGGATATTTGGATAGCTCTAACGATTTCGTTGGAAACGGGAATATCATCATCTAAAATCTAGACAGAAGCACTATTAGAAACTACTTGGTGATATCTGCATTCAAGTCACAGAGTAGAACATTCCCTTACTTCGACCACGTTTGAAACACTCTTTTGGAAGAATCTGGAAGTGGACATTTGGAGCGCTTTGATGCCTTTGGTGAAAAGGAAACGTCTTCCAATAAAAGCCAGACAGAAGCATTCTCAGAAACTTGTTTGTGATGTGTGTACTCAACTAAAAGAGTTGAACCTTTCTATTGATAGAGCAGTTTTGAAACACTCTTTTTGTGGATTCTGCAAGTGGATATTTGGATTGCTTTGAGGATTTCGTTGGAAGCGGGAATTCGTATAAAAACTAGACAGCAGCATTCCCAGAAATTTCTTTCGGATATTTCCATTCGACTCATAGAGATGAACATGGCCTTTCATAGAGCAGGTTTGAAACACTCTTTTTGTAGTTTGTGGAAGTGGACATTTCGATCGCCTTGACGCCTACGGTGAAAAAGGAAATATCTTCCCATAAAAAATAGACAGAAGCATTCTCAGAAACTTGTTGGTGATATGTGTCCTCAACTAACAGAGTTGAACTTTGCCATTGATAGAGAGCAGTTTTGAAACACTCTTTTTGTGGAATCTGCAAGTGGATATTTGGATAGCTTGGAGGATTTCGTTGGAAGCGGGAATTCAAATAAAAGGTAGACAGCAGCATTCTCAGGAAATTTCTTTCTGATGTCTGCATTCAACTCATAGAGTTGAAGATTCCCTTTCATAGAGCAGGTTTGAAACACTCTTTGTGGAGTATCTGGATGTGGACATTTGGAGCGCTTTGATGCCTACGGTGAAAAAGTAAATATCTTCCCATAAAAACGAGACAGAAGGATTCTGAGAAACAAGTTTGTGATGTGTGTACTCAGCTAACAGAGTGGAACCTCTGTTTTGATTCAGCAGTTTGGAAACACTCTTTTTGTAGAAACTGTAAGTGGATATTTGGATAGCTCTAATGATTTCGTTGGAAAAGGGAATATCATCATCTAAAATCTAGACAGAAGCCCTCTCAGAAACTACTTTGTGATATCTGCATTCAACTCACAGAGTTGAACATTCGGTTTCTTAGAGCACGTTTGAAACACTCTTTTTGTAGTGTCTGGAAGTGGACATTTGGAGCGCTTTGATGCCTTTGGTGAAAAAGGGAATGTCTTCCCATAAAAACTAGACAGAAGCATTCTCAGAAACTTGTTTGTGATGTGTGTACCCAGCCAAAGGAGTTGAACATTTCTATTGATAGAGCAGTTTTGAAACGCTCTTTTTGTGGAAAATGCAGGTGGATATTTGGATAGCTTGGAGGATTTCGTTGGAAGCGGGAATTCAAATAAAAGGTAGACAGCAGGATTCTCAGAAACAAGTTTGTGATGTGTGTACTCAGCTAACAGAGTGGAACCTTTCTTTTTACAGAGCAGCTTTGAAACTCTATTTTTGTGGATTCTGCAAATTGATATTTAGATTGCTTTAATGATATCGTTGGAAAAGGGAATATGGTCATACAAAATCTAGACAGAAGCATTCTCACAAACTTCTTTGTGATGTGTGTCCTCAACTAACAGAGTTGAACCTTTCTTTTGATGCAGCAGTTTGGAAACGCTCTTTTTGTAGAAACTGTAAGTGGATATTTGGATAGCTCTAACGATTTTGTTGGAAACGGGAATATCATTATCTAAAATCTAGACAGAAGCACTCTCAGAAACTACTTTTTGATATCTGCATTCAAGTCATAGAGTTGAACATTCGCTTTCTTAGAGCACTTTTGAAACACTCTTTTTGTAGTATCTGGAATTGGACATTTGGAGCTCTTTGATGCCTTTGGTGAAAAAGGAAATGTCATCCCATAAAAACTAGACAGAAGCATTCTCAGAAACTTGTTTGTGATGTGTGTACCTCAACTAAAAGAGTTGAACCTTTCTATTGATAGAGCAGTTTTGAAACACTCTTTTTGTGGATTCTGCAAGTGGATATTTGGATTGCTTTGAGGATTTCGTTGGAAGCGGGAATTCATATAAAAACTAGACAGCAGAAATCTCAGAAACTTGTTTGTGATGTGTATCCTCAACTGACAGAGTTGAACCTTGCCATTGATAGAGCAGTTTTGAAACACTCTTTTTGTGGAATCTGCAAGGGGATATTTGGATAGCCTGGAGGATTTCGTTGGAAGCGGGAATTCAAATAAAAGGTAGACAGCAGCATTCTCAGAAACTTGTTGGTGATATGTGTCCTCAACTAACAGAGTTGAACTTTGCCATTGATAGAGAGCAGTTTTGAAACACTCTTTTTGTGGAATCTGCAAGTGGATATTTGGATAGCTTGGAGGATTTCGTTGGAAGCGGGAATTCAAATAAAAGGTAGACAGCAGAGCATTCTCAGAAATTTCTTTCTGATGTCTGCATTCAACTCATAGAGTTGAAGATTCCCTTTCATAGAGCACGTTTGAAACACTCTTTCTGGAGTATCTGGATGTGGACATTTGGAGCGCTTTGATGCCTACGGTGAGAAAGTAAATATCTTCCCATAAAAACGAGACAGAAGGATTCTGAGAAACAAGTTTGTGATGTGTATACTCAGCTAACAGAGTGGAACCTCTCTTTTGATGCAGCAGTTTGGAAACACTCTTTTTGTAGAAACTGTAAGTGGATATTTGGATAGCTCTAATGATTTCGTTGGAAACGGGAATATCATCATCTAAAATCTAGACAGAAGCCCTCTCAGAAACTACTTTGTGATATCTGCATGCAAGTCACAGAGTTGAACATTCGCTTTCTTAGAGCACGTTGGAAACACTCTTTTTGTAGTGTCTGGAAGTGGACATTTGGAGCGCTTTGATGCCTTTGGTGAAAAAGGGAATGTCTTCCCATAAAAACTAGACAGAAGCATTCTCAGAAACTTGTTTGTGATGTGTGTACCCAGCCAAAGGAGTTGACCATTTCTATTGATAGAGCAGTTTTGAAACACTCTTGTTGTGGAAAATGCAGGTGGATATTTGGATAGCTTGGAGGATTTCTTTGGAAGCGGGAATTCAAATAAAAGGTACACAGCAGCATTCTCAGAAATTTCTTTCTGATGTCTGCATTCAACTCATAGAGTTGAAGATTCCCTTTCATAGAGCAGGTTTGAAACAGTCTTTCTGGAGTATCTGGATGTGGACATTTGGAGCGCTTTGATGCCTACGGTGAAAAAGTAACTATCTTCCCATAAAAACGAGACAGAAGGATTCTCAGAAACAAGTTTGTGATGTGTGTACTCAGCTAACAGAGTGGAACCTTTCTTTTTACAGAGCAGCTTTGAAACTCTATTTTTGTGGATTCTGCAAATTGATATTTAGTTTGCTTTAACGATATCGTTGGAAAAGGGAATATCGTCATACAAAATCTAGACAGAAGCATTCTCACAAACTTCTTTGTGATGTGTGTCCTCAACTAACAGAGTTGAACCTTTCTTTTGATGCAGCAGTTTGGAAACACCCTTTTGGTAGAAACTGTAACTGGATATTTGGATAGCTCTAACGATTTCGTTGGAAACGGGAATATCATCATCTAAAATCTAGACAGAAGCACTATTAGAAACTACTTGGTGATATCTGCATTCAAGTCAAAGAGTTGAACATTCCCTTACTTTGAGCACGTTTGAAACACTCTTTTGGAAGAATCTGGAAGTGGACATTTGGTGCGCTTTGATGCCTTTGGTGAAAAGGAAACGTCTTCCAATAAAAGCCAGACAGAAGCATTCTCAGAAACTTGTTCTTGATGTGTGTACTCAACTAAAAGAGTTGAACCTTTCTATTGATAGAGCAGTTTTGAAACACTCTTTTTGTGGATTCTGCAAGTGGATATTTGGATTGCTTTGAGGATTTCGTTGGAAGCGGGAATTCGTATAACAACTAGACAGCAGCATTCCCAGAAATTTCTTTCGGATATTTCCATTCAACTCATAGAGATGAACATGGCCTTTCATAGAGCAGGTTTGAAACACTCTTTTTGTAGTTTGTGGAAGTGGACATTTCGATCGCCTTGACGCCTACGGTGAAAAAGGAAATATCTTCCCATAAAAAATAGACAGAAGCATTCTCAGAAACTTGTTGGTGATATGTGTCCTCAACTAACAGAGTTGAACTTTGCCATTGATAGCAGTTTTGAAACACTCTTTTTGTGGAATCTGCAAGTGGATATTTGGATAGCTTGGAGGATTTCGTTGGAAGCGGGAATTCAAATAAAAGGTAGACAGCAGCATTCTCAGAAATTTCTTTGTGATGTTTGCATTCAACTCATAGAGTTGAACATTCCC
The DNA here is from genome assembly GCF_000001405.40 of Homo sapiens. Classification (NCBI taxonomy): domain Eukaryota; kingdom Metazoa; phylum Chordata; class Mammalia; order Primates; family Hominidae; genus Homo; species Homo sapiens. The sequence goes on from NC_000014.9 coordinate 18,002,075, forward strand.
TTTCATAGAGCAGGTTTGAAACACTCTTTCTGTACTATCTGGATGTGGACATTTGGAACGCTTTGATGCCTACGGTGAAAAAGTAAATATCTTCCCATAAAAGCTAGACAGAAGGATTCTGAGAAACAAGTTTGTGATGTGTGTACTCAGCTAACAGAGTGGAACCTCTCTTTTGATGCAGCAGTTAGGAAACACTCTTTTTGTAGAAACTGTAAGTGGATATTTGGATAGCTCTAATGATTTCGTTGGAAACGGGAATATCATCATCTAAAATCTAGACAGAAGCCCTCTCAGAAACTACTTTGTGATATCTGCATTCAAGTCACAGAGTTGAACATTCGCTTTCTTAGAGCACGTTGGAAACACTCTTTTTGTAGTGTCTGGAAGTGGACATTTGGAGCGCTTTGATGCCTTTGGTGAAAAAGGGAACGTCTTCCCATAAAAACTAGACAGAAAGCATTCTCAGAAACTTGTTTGTGATGTGTGTACCCAGCTAAAGGAGATGAACATTTCTATTGATAGAGCAGTTTTGAAACACTCTTTTTGTGGAAAATGCAAGTGGATATTTGGATAGCTTGGAGGATTTCGTTGGAAGCGGGAATTCAAATAAAAGGTAGACAGCAGCATTCTCAGAAATTTCTTTCTGATGTCTGCATTCAACTCATAGAGTTGAAGATTCCCTTTCATAGAGCAGGTTTGAAACACTGTTTCTGGAGTATCTGGATGTGGACATTTGGAGCGCTTTGATGCCTACGGTGAAAAAGTAAATATCTTCCCATAAAAACGAGACAGAAGGATTCTCAGAAACAAGTTTGTAATGTGTGTACTCAGCTAACAGAGTGGAACCTTTCTTTTTACAGAGCAGCTTTGAAACTCTATTTTTGTGGATTCTGCAAATGGATATTTAGATTGCTTTAACGATATCGTTGGAAAAGGGAATATCGTCATACAAAATCTGGACAGAAGCATTCTCACAAACTTCTTTGTGATGTGTGTCCTCAACTAACAGAGTTGAACCTTTCTTTTGATGCAGCAATTTGGAAACACCCTTTTGGTAGAAACTGTAACTGGATATTTGGATAGCTCTAACGATTTCGTTGGAAACGGGAATATCATCATCTAAAATGTAGACAGAAGCACTATTAGAAACTACTTGGTGATATCTGCATTCAAGTCACAGAGTTGAACATTCGCTTTCTTAGAGCACGTTTGAAACACTCTTTTTGTAGTGTCTGGAAGTGGACATTTGGAGCGCTTTGATGCCTTTGGTGAAAAAGGGAACGTCTTCCCATAAAAACTAGACAGAAGCATTCTCAGAAACTTGTTTGTGATGTGTGTACTCAACTAAAAGAGTTGAACCTTTCTATTGAAAGAGCAGTTTTGAAACACTCTTTTTGTGGATTCTGCAAGTGGATATTTGGATTGCTTTGAGGATTTCGTTGGAAGCGGGAATTCGTATAAAAACTAGACAGCAGCATTCCCAGGAAATTTCTTTCGGATATTTCCATTCGACTCATAGAGATGAACATGGCCTTTCATAGAGCAGGTTTGAAACACTCTTTTTGTAGTTTGTGGAAGTGGACATTTCGATCGCCTTGACGCCTACGGTGAAAAAGGAAATATCTTCCCATAAAAAATAGACAGAAGCATTCTCAGAAACTTCTTGGTGATATGTGTCCTCAACTAACAGAGTTGAACTTTGCCATTGATAGAGAGCAGTTTTGAAACACTCTTTTTGTGGAATCTGCAAGTGGATATTTGGATAGCTTGGAGGATTTCGTTGGAAGCGGGAATTCAAATTAAAGGTAGACAGCAGCATTCTCAGTAAATTTCTTTCTGATGTCTGCATTCAACTCATAGAGTTGAAGATTCCCTTTCATAGAGCAGGTTTGAAACACTCGTTCTGGAGTATCTGGATGTGGACATTTGGAGCGCTTTGATGCCTACGGTGGAAAAGTAAATATCTTCCCATAAAAACGAGACAGAAGGATTCTCAGAAACAAGTTTGTGATGTGTGTACTCAGCTAACGGAGTGGAACCTTTCTTTTTACAGAGCAGCTTTGAAACTCTATTTTTCTGGATTCTGCAAATTGATATTTAGATTGCTTTAACGATATCGTTGGAAAAGGGAATATCGTCATACAAAATCTAGACAGAAGCACTCTCAGAAACTACTTTGTGATATCTGCATTCAAGTCACAGAGTTGAACATTCGCTTTCTTAGAGCACGTTTGAAACACTCTTTTTGTAGTGTCTGGAAGTGGACATTTGGAGCGCTTTGATTCCTTTGGTGAAAAAGGGAATGTCTACCCATAAAAACTAGACAGAAGCATTCTCAGAAACTTGTTTGTGATGTGTGTACCCAGCCAAAGGAGTTGAACATTTCTATTGATAGAGCAGTTTTGAAACGCTCTTTTTGTGGAAAATGCAGGTGGATATTTGGATAGCTTGGAGGATTTCGTTGGAAGCGGGAATTCAAATAAAAGGTAGACAGGAGCATTCTCAGAAATTACTTTCTGATGTCTGCATTCAACTCATAGAGTTGAAGATTCCCTTTCATAGAGCAGGTGTGAAACACTCTTTCTGTAGTATCTGGATGTGGACATTTGTTGCGCTTTGATACCTACTGTGAAAAAGTAAATATCTTCCCATAAAAACTAGACAGAAGGATTCTCAGAAACAAGTTTGTGATGTGTGTACTCAGCTAACAGAGTGGATACTTTCTTCTTACAGAGCAGCTTTGAAACTCTATTTCTGTGGATTCTGCAAATTGATATTTGGGTTGATTTAGCGACATCGTTGGAAAAGGGAATATCTTCATACAAAATCCAGACAGAAAGCATTCTCACAAACTTCTTTGTGATGTGTGTCCTCAACTAACAGAGTTGAACTTTTCTTTTGATGCAGCAGTTTGGAAACACTGTTTTTGTAGAAACTGTAAGTGGATATTTGGATAGCTCTAACGATTTCGTTGGAAACGGGAATATCATCATCTAAAATCTAGACAGAAGCACTATTAGAAACTACTTGGTGATATCTGCATTCAAGTCACAGAGTAGAACATTCCCTTACTTCGAGCACGTTTGAAACACTCTTTTGGAAGAATCTGGAAGTGGACATTTGGAGCGCTTTGATGTCTTTGGTGAAAAGGAAACGTCTTCCAATAAAAGCCAGACAGAAGCATTCTCAGTAAACTTGTTGGTGATGTGTGTACTCAACTAAAAGAGTTGAACCTTTCTATTGATAGAGCAGTTTTGAAACACTCTTTTTGTGGATTCTGCAAGTGGATATTTGGATTGCTTTGAGGATTTCGTTGGAAGCGGGAATTCGTATAAACACTAGACAGCAGCATTCCCAGAAATTTCTTTCGGATATTTCCATTCAACTCATAGAGATGAACATGGCCTTTCATAGAGCAGGTTTGAAACACTCTTTTTGTAGTTTGTGGAAGTGGACATTTCGATCGCCTTGACGCCTACGGTGAAAAAGGAAATATCTTCCCATAAAAAATAGACAGAAGCATTCTCAGAAACTTGTTGGTGATATGTGTCCTCAACTAACAGAGTTGAACTTTGCCATTGATAGAGAGCAGTTTTGAAACACTCTTTTTGTGGAATCTGCAAGTGGATATTTGGATAGCTTGGAGGATTTCGTTGGAAGCGGGAATTCAAATAAAAGGTAGACAGCAGCATTCTCAGAAATTTCTTTCTGATGTCTGCATTCAACTCATAGAGTTGAGCATTCCCTTTCATAGGGCAGGTTTGAAATACTCTTTCTGTAGTATCTGGTTGTGGACATTTGGAGCGCTTTGATGCCTACGGTGAAAAAGTAAATATCTTCCCATAAAAACGAGACAGAAGGATTCTGAGAAACAAGTTTGTGATGTGTGTACTCAGCTAACAGAGTGGAACCTCTCTTTTGATGCAGTAGTTTGGAAACACTCTTTTTGTAGAAACTGTAAGTGGATATTTGGATAGCTCTAATGATTTCGTTGGAAACGGGAATATCATCATCTAAAATCTAGACAGAAGCACTCTCAGAAACTACTTTGTGATATCTGCATTCAAGTCACAGAGTTGAACATTCGCTTTCTTAGAGCACGTTTGAAACACTCTTTTTGTAGTGTCTGGAAGTGGACATTTGGAGTGCTTTGATTCCTTTGGTGAAAAAGGGAATGTCTACCCATAAAAACTAGACAGAAGCATTCTCAGAAACTTGTTTGTGATGTGTGTACCCAGCTAAAGGAGTTGAACGTTTCTATTGATAGAGCAGTTTTGAAACACTCTTTTTGTGGAAAATGCTAGTGGATATTTCGATAGCTTGGAGGATTTCCTTGGAAGCGGGAATTCAAATAAAAGGTAGACAGCAGCATTCTCAGAAATTTCTTTCTGATGTCTGCATTCAACTCATAGAGTTGAAGATTCCCTTTCATAGAGCAGGTTTGAAACACTCGTTCTGGAGTATCTGGATGTGGACATTTGGAGCGCTTTGATGCCTACGGTGGAAAAGTAAATATCTTCCCATAAAAACGAGACAGAAGGATTCTCAGAAACAAGTTTGTGATGTGTGTACTCAGCTAACAGAGTGGAACCTTTCTTTTTACAGAGCAGCTTTGAAACTCTATTTTTGTGGATTCTGCAAATGGATATTTAGATTGCTTTAACGATATCGTTGGAAAAGAGAATATCGTCATACAAAATCTGGACAGAAGCATTCTCACAAACTTCTTTGTGACGTGTGTCCTCAACTAACAGAGTTGAACCTTTCTTTTGATGCAGCAGTTTGGAAACACTGTTTTTGTAGCAACTGTAAGTGGATATTTGGATAGCTCTAACGATTTCGTTGGAAACGGGAATATCATCATCTAAAATCTAGACAGAAGCACTATTAGAAACTACTTGGTGATATCTGCATTCAAGTCACAGAGTGGAACATTCCCTTACTTTGAGCACGTTTCAAACACTCTTTTGGAAGAATCTGGAAGTGGACATTTGGAGCGCTTTGATGCCTTTGGTGAAAAGGAAACGTCTTCCAATAAAAGCCAGACAGAAGCATTCTCAGAAACTTGTTTGTGATGTGTGTACTCAACTAAAAGAGTTGAACCTTTCTATTGATAGAGCAGTTTTGAAACACTCTTTTTGTGGATTCTGCAAGTGGATATTTGGATTGCTTTGAGGATTTCGTTGGAAGCGGGAATTCGTATAAAAACTAGACAGCAGCATTCCCAGAAATTTCTTTCGGATATTTCCATTCAACTCATAGAGATGAACATCGCCTTTCATAGAGCACGTTTGAAACACTCTTTTTGTAGTTTGTGGAAGTGGACATTTGGATCGCCTTGACGCCTACGGTGAAAAAGGAAATATCTTCCCATAAAAAATAGACAGAAGCATTCTCAGAAACTTGTTGGTGATATGTGTCCTCAACTAACAGAGTTGAACTTTGCCATTGATAGAGAGCAGTTTTGAAACACTCTTTTTGTGGAATCTGCAAGTGGATATTTGGATAGCTTGGAGGATTTTGTTGGAAGCGGGAATTCAAATAAAAGGTAGACAGCAGCATTCTCAGAAATTTCTTTCTGATGTCTGCATTCAACTCATAGAGTTGAAGATTCCCTTTCATAGAGCAGGTTTGAAACACTCTTTCTGGAGTATCTGGATGTGGACATTTGGAGCGCTTTGATGCCTACGGTGAAAAAGTAAATATCTTCCCATAAAAACGAGACAGAAGGATTCTGAGAAACAAGTTTGTGATGTGTGTACTCAGCTAACAGAGTGGAACCTCTCTTTTGATGCAGCAGTTTGGAAACACTCTTTTTGTAGAAACTGTAAGTGGATATTTGGATAGCTCTAATGATTTCGTTGGAAACGGGAATATCATCATCTAAAATCTAGACAGAAGCCCTCTCAGAAACTACTTTGTGATATCTGCATTCAAGTCACAGAGTTGAACATTCACTTTCTTAGAGCACGTTTGAAACACTCTTTTTGTAGTGTCTGGAAGTGGACATTTGGAGCGCTTTGATGCCTTTGGTGAAAAAGGGAACGTCTTCCCATAAAAACTAGACAGAAGCATTCTCAGAAACTTGTTTGTGATGTGTGTACCCAGCCAAAGGAGTTGAACATTTCTATTGATAGAGCAGTTTTGAAACACTCTTTTTGTGGAAAATGCAGGTGGATATTTGGATAGCTTGGAGGATTTCGTTGGAAGCGGGAATTCAAATAAAAGGTAGACAGCAGCATTCTCAGAAATTTCTTTCTGATGTCTGCATTCAACTCATAGAGTTGAACATTCCCCTTTCATAGAGCAGGTTTGAAACACTCTTTCTGGAGTATCTGGATGTGGACATTTGGAGCCCTTTGATGCCTACGGTGAAAAAGTAAATATCTTCCCATAAAAACGAGACAGAAGGATTCTGAGAGACAAGTTTGTGATGTGTGTACTCAGCTAACAGAGTGGAACCTTTCTTTTTACAGAGCAGCTTTGAAACTCTATTTTTGTGGATTCTGCAAATGGATATTTAGATTGCTTTAATGATATCGTTGGAAAAGGGAATATCGTCATACAAAATCTGGACAGAAGCATTCTCACAAACTTCTTTGTGATGTGTGTCCTCAACTAACAGAGTTGAACCTTTCTTTTGATGCAGCAATTTGGAAACACCCTTTTGGTAGAAACTGTAACTGGATATTTGGATAGCTCTAACGATTTCGTTGGAAACGGGAATATCATCATCTAAAATGTAGACAGAAGCACTATTAGAAACTACTTGGTGATATCTGCATTCAAGTCACAGAGTTGAACATTCCCTTACTTTCGAGCACGTTTGAAACACTCTTTTGGAAGAATCTGGAAGTGGACATTTGGAGCGCTTTGATGCCTTTGGTGAAAAGGAAACGTCTTCCAATAAAAGCCAGACAGAAGCATTCTCAGAAACTTGTTTGTGATGTGTGTACTCAACTAAAAGAGTTGAACCTTTCTATTGATAGAGCAGTTTTGAAACACTCTTTTTGTGGATTCTGCAAGTGGATATTTGGATTGCTTTGAGGATTTCGTTGGAAGCGGGAATTCATATAATAACTAGACAGCAGCATTACCAGAAATTTCTTTCGGATATTTCCATTCAACTCATAGAGAAGAACATGGCCTTTCATAGAGCAGGTTTGAAACACTCTTTTTGTAGTTTGTGGAAGTGGACATTTCGATCACCTTGACGCCTACGGTGAAAAAGGAAATATCTTCCCATAAAAAATAGACAGAAGCATTCTCAGAAACTTGTTGGTGATATGTGTCCTCAACTAACAGAGTTGAACTTTGCCATTGATAGAGAGCAGTTTTGAAACACTCTTTTTGTGGAATATGCAAGTGGATATTTGGATAGCTTGGAGGATTTCGTTGGAAGCGGGAATTCAAATAAAAGGTAGACAGCAAGCATTCTCAGAAATTTCTTTGTGATGCTTGCATTCAACTCATAGAGTTGAACATTCCCTTTCATACAGCAGGTTTGAAACACTCTTTCTGTACTATCTGCATGTGGACATTTGGAACTCTTTGATGCCTACGGTGAAAAAGTAAATATCTTCCCATAAAAACTAGACAGAAGGATTCTGAGAAACAAGTTTGTGATGTGTGTACTCAGCTAACAGAGGTGGAACCCCTCTTTTGATGCAGCAGTTTGGAAACACTCTTTTTGTAGAAACTGTAAGTGGATATTTGGATAGCTCTAATGATTTCGTTGGAAACGGGAATATCATCATCTAAAATCTAGACAGAAGCACTATTAGAAACTACTTGGTGATATCTGCATTCAAGTCACAGAGTTGAACATTCCCTTACTTCGACCACGTTTGAAACACTCTTTTTGTAGTGTCTGGAAGTGGACATTTGGAGCGCTTTGATGCCTTTGGTGAAAAAGGGAATGTCTTCCCATAAAAACTAGACAGAAGCATTCTCAGAAACTTGTTTGTGATGTGTGTACCCAGCCAAAGGAGTTGAACATTTCTATTGATAGAGCAGTTTTGAAACACTCTTTTTGTGGAAAATGCAGGTGGATATTTGGATAGCTTGGAGGATTTCGTTGGAAGAGGGAATTCAAATAAAAGGTAGACAGCAGCATTCTCAGAAATTTCTTTCTGATGTCTGCATTCAACTCATAGAGTTGAAGATTCCCTTTCATAGAGCAGGTTTGAAACACTCTTTCTGGAGTATCTGGATGTGGACATTTGGAGCGCTTTGATGCCTACGGTGAAAAAGTAAATATCTTCCCATAAAAACGAGACAGAAGGATTCTCAGAAACAAGTTTGTGATGTGTGTACTCAGCTAACAGAGTGGAACCTTTCTTTTTACAGAGCAGCTTTGAAACTCTAGTTTTGTGGATTCTGCAAATTGATATTTAGATTGCTTTAACGATATCGTTGGAAAAGGGAATATCGTCATACAAAATCTAGACAGAAGCATTCTCACAAACTTCTTTGTGATGTGTGTCCTCAACTAACAGAGTTGAACCTTTCTTTTGATGCAGCAATTTGGAAACACCCTTTTGGTAGAAACTGTAACTGGATATTTGGATAGCTCTAACGATTTCGTTGGAAACGGGAATATCATCATCTAAAATGTAGACAGAAGCACTATTAGAAACTACTTGGTGATATCTGCATTCAAGTCACAGAGTAGAACATTCCCTTACTTCGAGCACGTTTGAAACACTCTTTTGGAAGAATCTGGAAGTGGACATTTGGAGCGCTTTGATGCCTTTGGTGAAAAGGAAACGTCTTCCAATAAAAGCCAGACAGAAGCATTCTCAGAAACTTGTTTGTGATGTGTGTACTCAACTAAAAGAGTTGAACCTTTCTATTGATAGAGCAGTTTTGAAACACTCTTTTTGTGGATTCTGCAAGTGGATATTTGGATTGCTTTGAGGATTTCGTTGGAAGCGGGAATTCGTATAAAAACTAGACAGCAGCATTCCCAGAAATTTCTTTCAGATATTTCCATTCGACTCATAGAGATGAACATGGCCTTTCATAGAGCAGGTTTGAAACACTCTTTTTGTAGTTTGTGGAAGTGGACATTTCGATCGCCTTGACGCCTACGGTGAAAAAGGAAATATCTTCCCATAAAAAATAGACAGAAGCATTCTCAGAAACTTGTTGGTGATATGTGTCCTCAACTAACAGAGTTGAACTTTGCCATTGATAGAGAGCAGTTTTGAAACACTCTTTTTCCTGAATCTGCAAGTGGATATTTGGATAGTTTGGAGGATTTCGTTGGAAGCGGGAATTCAAATAAAAGGTAGACAGCAGGATTCTGAGAAACAAGTTTGTGATGTGTGTACTCAGCTAACAGAGTGGAACCTCTGTTTTGATACAGCAGTTTGGAAACACTCTTTTTGTAGAAACTGTAAGTGGATATTTGGATAGCTCTAATGATTTCGTTGGAAAAGGGAATATCATCATCTAAAATCTAGACAGAAGCCCTCTCAGAAACTACTTTGTGATATCTGCATTCAAGTCACAGAGTTGAACATTCGCTTTCTTAGAGCACGTTGGAAACACTCTTTTTGTAGTGTCTGGAAGTGGACATTTGGAGCGCTTTGATGCCTTTGGTGAAAAAGAGAATGTCTTCCCATAAAAACTAGACAGAAGCATTCTCAGAAACTTGTTTGTGATGTGTGTACCCAGCCAAAGGAGTTGAACATTTCTATTGATAGAGCAGTTTTGAAACGCTCTTTTTGTGGAAAATGCAGGTGGATATTTGGATAGCTTGGAGGATTTCGTTGGAAGCGGGAATTCAAATAAAAGGTAGACAGCAGCATTCTCAGAAATTTCTTTCTGATGTCTGCATTCAACTCATAGAGTTGAAGATTCCCTTTCATAGAGCAGGTTTGAAACAGTCTTTCTGGAGTATCTGGATGTGGACATTTGGAGTGCTTTGATGCCTACGGTGAAAATGTAAATATCTTCCCATAAAAACGAGACAGAAGGATTCTGAGAAACAAGTTTGTGATGTGTGTACTCAGCTAACAGAGTGGAACCTTTCTTTTTACAGAGCAGCTTTGAAACTCTATTTTTGTGGATTCTGCAAATGGATATTTAGATTGCTTTAACGATATCGCTGGAAAAGGGAATATCGTCATACAAAATCTAGACAGAAGCATTCTCACAAACTTCTTTGTGATGTGTGTCCTCAACTAACAGAGTTGAACCTTTCTTTTGATGCAGCAATTTGGAAACACCCTTTTGGTAGAAACTGTAACTGGATATTTGGATAGCTCTAACGATTTCGTTGGAAACGGGAATATCATCATCTAAAATCTAGACAGAAGCACTATTAGAAACTACTTGGTGATATCTGCATTCAAGTCACAGAGTTGAACATTCCCTTACTTTGAGCACGTTTGAAACACTCTTTTGGAAGAATCTGGAAGTGGACATTTGGAGCGCTTTGATGATGCCTTTGGTGAAAAGGAAACGTCTTCCAATAAAAGCCAGACAGAAGCATTCTCAGAAACTTGTTTGTGATGTGTGTACTCAACTAAAAGAGTTGAACCTTTCTATTGATAGAGCAGTTTTGAAACACTCTTTTTGTGGATTCTGCAAGTGGATATTTGGATTGCTTTGAGGATTTCGTTGTAAGCGGGAATTCGTATAAAAACTAGACAGCAGCATTCCCAGAAATTTCTTTCGGATATTTCCATTCGACTCATAGAGATGAACATGGCCTTTCATAGAGCAGGTTTGAAACACTCTTTTTGTAGTTTGTGGAAGTGGACATTTCGATCGCCTTGACGCCTACGGTGAAAAAGGAAATATCTTCCCATAAAAAATAGACAGAAGCATTCTCAGAAACTTGTTGGTGATATGTGTCCTCAACTAACAGAGTTGAACTTTGCCATTGATAGAGAGCAGTTTTGAAACACTCTTTTTGTGGAATCTGCAAGTGGATATTTGGATAGCTTGGAGGATTTCGTTGGAAGCGGGAATTCAAATAAAAGGTAGACAGCAGGATTCTCAGAAACAAGTTTGTGATGTGTGTACTCAGCTAACAGAGTGGAACCTCTCTTTTGATGCAGCAGTTTGGAAACACTCTTTTTGTAGAAACTGTAAGTGGATATTTGGATAGCTCTAATGATTTCGTTGGAAACCGGAATATCATCATCTAAAATCTAGACAGAAGCCCTCTCAGAAACTACTTTGTGATATCTGCATTCAAGTCACAGAGTTGAACATTCGCTTTCTTAGAGCACGTTTGAAACACTCTTTTTGTAGTGTCTGGAAGTGGACATTTGGAGCGCTTTGATGTCTTTGGGGAAAAAGGGAATGTCTTCCCATAAAAACTAGACAGAAGCATTCTCAGAAACTTGTTTGTGATGTGTGTACCCAGCCAAAGGAGTTGAACATTTCTATTGATAGAGCAGTTTTGAAACACTCTTTTTGTGGAAAATGCAGGTGGATATTTGGATAGCTTGGAGGATTTCGTTGGAAGCGGGAATTCAAATAAAAGGTAGACAGCAGGATTCTCAGAAACAAGTTTGTGATGTGTGTACTCAGCTAACAGAGTGGAACCTTTCTTTTTACAGAGCAGCTTTGAAACTCTATTTTTGTGGATTCTGCAAATTGATATTTAGATTGCTTTAACGATATCGTTGGAAAAGGGAATATCGTCATACAAAATCTAGACAGAAGCATTCTCACAAACTTCTTTGTGATGTGTTTCCTCAACTAACAGAGTTGAACCTTTCTTTTGATGCAGCAATTTGGAAACACCCTTTTGGTAGAAACTGTAACTGGATATTTGGATAGCTCTAACGATTTTGTTGGAAACGGGAATATCATCATCTAAAATCTAGACAGAAGCACTATTAGAAACTACTTGGTGATATCTGCATTCAAGTCACAGAGTTGAACATTCCCTTACTTTGAGCACGTTTCAAACACTCTTTTGGAAGAATCTGGAAGTGGACATTTGGAGCGCTTTGATGCCTTTGGTGAAAAGGAAACGTCTTCCAATAAAAGCCAGACAGAAGCATTCTCAGAAACTTGTTTGTGATGTGTGTACTCAACTAAAAGAGTTGAACCTTTCTATTGATAGAGCAGTTTTGAAACACTCTTTTTGTGGATTCTGCAAGTGGATATTTGGATTGCTTTGAGGATTTCGTTGGAAGCGGGAATTCGTATAACAACTAGACAGCAGCATTCCCAGAAATTTCTTTCGGATATTTCCATTCAACTCATAGAGATGAACATGGCCTTTCATAGAGCAGGTTTGAAACACTCTTTTTTGTAGTTTGTGGAAGTGGACATTTCGATCGCCTTGACGCCTACGGTGAAAAAGGAAATATCTACCCATAAAAAATAGACAGAAGCATTCTCAGAAACTTGTTGGCGATATGTGTCCTCAACTAACAGAGTTGAACTTTGCCATTGATAGAGAGCAGTTTTGAAACACTCTTTTTCCTGAATCTGCAAGTGGATATTTGGATAGCTTGGAGGATTTCGTTGGAAGCGGGAATTCAAATAAAAGGTAGACAGCAGCATTCTCAGAAATTTCTTTCTGATGTCTGCATTCAACTCATAGAGTTGAAGATTCCCTTTCATAGAGCAGGTTTGAAACACTCTTTCTGGAGTATCTGGATGTGGACATTTGGAGCGCTTTGATGCCTACGGTGAAAAAGTAAATATCTTCCCAGAAAAACGAGACAGAAGGATTCTCAGAAACAAGTTTGTGATGTGTGTACTCAGCTAACAGAGTGGAACCTCTCTTCTGATGCAACAGTTTGGAAACACTCTTTTTGTAGAAACTGTAAGTGGATATTTGGATAGCTCTAATGATTTCGTTGGAAACGGGAATATCATCATCTAAAATCTAGACAGAAGCCCTCTCAGAAACTACTTTGTGATATCTGCATTCAAGTCACAGAGTTGAACATTCGCTTTCTTAGAGCACGTTTGAAACACTCTTTTTGCAGTGTCTGGAAGTGGACATTTGGAGCGCTTTGATGCCTTTGGTGAAAAAGGGAATGTCTTCCCATAAAAACTAGACAGAAGCATTCTCAGAAACTTGTTTGTGATGTGTGTACCCAGCCAAAGGAGTTGAACATTTCTATTGATAGAGCAGTTTTGAAACACTCTTGTTGTGGAAAATGCAGGTGGATATTTGGATAGCTTGGGGGATTTCGTTGGAAGCGGGAATTCAAATAAAAGGTAGACAGCAGCATTCTCAGAAATTTCTTTCTGATGTCTGCATTCAACTCATAGAGTTGAAGATTCCCTTTCATAGAGCAGGTTTGAAACACTCGTTCT